>NC_000002.12:29201124-29353874 GCF_000001405.40 Homo sapiens
GGTGTGATAGAGGTTATGCTCTTAGGAAAAATGGGAGCCAAAAATTAATATCTTTAAATGTCCATCCAGTGGATTCCAAGATCTCATACACCAAGATCTCATACAGTTCTCTGATCTTTAGTTTCATCTATCAGATGCCCACTCATTAGCTTCACTGGCCTATTTTAATAGGCAACTCAAATTTAACATGCCCAAACGGAACTCCTTCTGAACCCACACCATCTCCTCTTTCATTCTTTCCCAACTCAGCAGCACCTCTGGTTATGCATTTGTTCAAGCCCAAAACCCAGGAGTCATCCTTGACTCCGTTATCCCACACCCCTCCACTTCCCATCCAACAGTCAGCAGTCCTGTTAACTCTACATTCAAGATAGATCTTGAGGCCGGGCGCTGTGGCTCATGCCTGTAATCTCAGCATTTTGGGGTCTGAGGTGGGCGGATCACTTGAGGTCAGGAGTTCGAGACCAGCCTGGCCAACGTGGTGAAATCCCGTCTCTACTAAAAATACAAAAATTAGCTGGGTGTGGTAGCACGCGTCTGTAATCCCAGCTACTTGGGAGGCTGAAGTGAGAGGATTGTTTCAACCTAGGAGGCGGAGGTTGCAGTGAGCTGAGATGGCGCCACTGTACTCCAGCCGGGGCGACAGAATGACAGTCTAAAAAAAAAAAAAAAAATCTTGAATCTGACTACTTTGCGCTACCTCCACTGCCACCACCAAGCCACATCGCTCTCCTGTTTCTCTCAGCTAGCAATGTGCAGGATTTTCTTAACTGGTTTCTTTCTTCACTTACCCACCTCTAGTGTAAATTCAGTGGCAGAGAGATTTTTTTTATAAAGCAAAGATCATATCACACTCCTGCTTACAACCCTTCAACCGGCATCCCATGGTGTTTAGAATAAAATCCACATCCCCCATCTGAGTTCCAAGGCCGTCTGTGTTCTGACCCATCCCTTCCACCCCTATTGGCCCTGGGCTCCCTTAGCTCCGACCATCAGGACTTGATTTCATTCCTCAGCAAGCAAGCTAGGCTCCTTCCTGCCTCTGGCTGTTCACACTGGCTTTTCCTGCAGTCTGGAAAGCCTTTCTCTCAGATCTTTCCAAGGCCTGCCCTTTCTTTCAGGTATTGAAGTTACCTCCGGTAAGGAGCTTCCCCCCGCCCACCTTTGCCAAAAAAACCCCAGCTCCTCCTCTTTCTGCCTGATTGTCTTAGAGCACTTCCTAATCCTTGCAGCTATATAATTTGTTTAAGCATTCCAATTGTGAAACAGTCAAAACTTTAAAAAGGAACAGAGTTATCTATGTATCTAGATGTTAATCTTTTGTCTTATTCTTGTCAGCTCTCCCTTTCTTTATGAAGACTTAGAGACAGAAAGACCCCACCTCCCTCTCTCTGCTCTCCTGAAGTTAGACTGTATCCTACAATTGTATGTTTCACATTTTTAAACAATGCGTGAAAGCGCAAACGATACTGTGTTATAGACATTTTTTATATTGTAAAGTTATACATAAATGATATCCTACTCCTTTTTGTAATTTGCTTTTTCCCCACTGAACACTGTTTTTGAGATTTATCTATGTTGATATATGTAGGTTGTCTTCTTTTATACTGCGGAATAGTTTTCCATGATGTAAGTAAACCACAGTTAATTTTTCCATCTCCTAGTTGAGGGGTAGTTGGGTTGGGTTTTGTTTTTATTTTTGTTTTTGTTTTGCTTTTTCTCTATTGTAAACAATGTTGCAAGTGAACATCCAGCGCCCAAGTCTATTTGTGTCATCTTCTCTCTAATGTATTTACTTAAAAATAGGAGCGTTAGGTCACAGGATGTGTGTGTGTTCAGGACAATTACTTAATTGCT
The DNA here is from genome assembly GCF_000001405.40 of Homo sapiens. Lineage (NCBI taxonomy): Eukaryota > Metazoa > Chordata > Mammalia > Primates > Hominidae > Homo > Homo sapiens. The sequence goes on from NC_000002.12 coordinate 29,202,982, forward strand.
TAAGTTATTCTCTGTCTCTGGATCCCCTGGGTTGCTGGTGCTCTAACTTCCCTGCATATCAGAATCATCTGATAAAACACAGATTGCAGAGTCCCACCCCTAGAGTTTCTGTTGTATTAGGCCTGAGGTGGGGGCCGAGGATTCGCAGTTCCCAGGTGGTGCTGATGGACCACACTTAGAGATCCACTGGGTTAGGTTAAAACCAAATCTCACTGGTGTAAAAACAACAAAGGCTCTTGCTCTCATTATCTAATGCTGGTCAGAAAGGCAGCTCTGACTATTTGTGGCCGCACCATCTTATGACATGATCTCAGCTCCAGGCTTTCAAAATGTGGAGGTTTTTCATTCTTGCATTGTCTTCTTATGTTTCCTGTGGTGCTGTTAAGCAATTTGATGCCATTTGGATTCCTTATCTTTTATCTCTATTATTTTTTACTATTAATTTTTAAATTTTCTTTGTGGAAGTTTGCAGGATCTTTATCACCATTGGCCTGAGGATGTGCCTTTTTTTTTTTTTTTTTTTTTTTTTTTGTGAGACAGAGTCTTGCTCTGTCGCCCAGGCTACAGTAATCTCAACTCACTGCAACCTCCGCCTCCCAGGTTCAAGCAATTCTCTGGCCTCATCCTCCCAAGTAGCTGGGATTACAGGCACCCGCCACCACGCCCAGCTAATTTTTGTATTTTTAGTAGAGACGGGTTTCACCATCTTGGCCAGGCTGGTCTCGAACTCCTGACCTCATGATCCACCTGCCTCGGTCTCCCAAAGTGCTGGGATTTCAGGTGTGAGCCACTGCGCCCGGCCGAGGATATGCCCTTTTTCCCCATGGTGATTGGCACTTGGTGAATTCTTTCATTCTGGAAATTTATGTCCTGTGCTAGGAAATCTTGAATGATTGCTCTGCTGTCTTTATTCTCTTCATTTCCTCTGTTCCTTCTCTCTGGGACTCCTATTTTGTCAGCTAAATTGGACCTTTTGGTCTACCCCTTAATTTTTTAAATAAAAAATTATTATATTTTCCTATATTTTCCATCTCTTTTTAGGTTTATTTTCTGGAAGGTTTATTTAGCTTCACACTCCATCCTTTTCATTGCATTTCTGTCATCAAATTTTTAAATAATAAGATTTTTTTCTTAGAACAGTTCAAACTTGGAAGAAACTATGAATACACGGAGTTCTCCTATACCTCACACTTGATCCCTGCTACTGTTAGCATCACACTAGTGCGATACACGTGTTACAATTAATGAACCACAGTTAAGGCATTATTGACTAAAGCCCATACTTCATTCAGATTTCCTTAGTTTTCACTGAATCTCTGTTTTCTATTCCAGAGTCCTACTAGGATATCGCATTACATTTAATTGTCTTGTTTCTTTGGGCTTCTCTTGACTATGACAACACCTCCGACTTTCCTCGTTTTTTATGACCTTGACAGGTTTGAGAATCTGGTCAGGGATTTTGTAGAATATTCCTCAATTGGGATTTGTCTGTTTTTCTCATGATTAGACTGTGGTTACGGGATGTGGGGAGGAAGAAGACCACAGAGGTAAAGTACCATTTTCATCACATCAGGGGAACATACTGGCAACATGACCCAGCCCTGTTGTTATTACTATTATTATTTGAGATGGAGTTTCGCTCTTGTCACCCAGGCTGGAGTGCAGTTGCACAATCTCAGCTCACTACAACCTCCACCTCCCAGGTTCAAGCATTTCTCCTGCCTCAGCCTCCTGAGTAGCTGGGTTTACAGGGGCCTACCACCATGCCCAGCTAAATTTTGTGTTTTTAGTAGAGATGTGTTTCACCATGTTGGCAAGGCTAGTCTCGAACTTCTGACCTCAGGTGATCCGCCCACCTTGGCCTCCCAAAGAGCTGGGATTACAGGCATGAGCTACTGTGCTTGGCCCCTAGACTTATCACTATTGAGGTTGACCTTGAGCACCTGGCTGAGGTCGTTATTTGTCAGGTCTCTCCACTGTGAAGTTTCTCTTTTCCCCTCTGACCCAGCCCTGTACTCTTTGGAAGAAAGTGAGAACACGCAGCCCACACAGGCTTCAGGGTAGCCATGCCTATCTCCTTGAGGCCACCTCTTATCACACTTGGATTTCCTTATCCTCCTAAGAGTATTGTTTAAAATAACCTTTTGTCCTCCATTTATGGTTGCAATAGTTTTTCTGATCTTTTGGAGGATATTATAGTTTTTTAGAAAGTTTTCCTAAACTTTCTACATGTTTCTTCAAGTTCCTTTTTATATGTGTGTTTTCTTCAGATTAGAATATTTTCTTAAATGTTTGTTGATTCTTGGCTGTCTGTTCATATTTTAAGACTGGGATATTAAGAAGCCAGTAGAAAGTTCTGTGTAACACATTGGCTGGTGGGTAGCTTGCTTGCTTGTTTCACTAGCTGTAATTTTCTGTGACTGTTGTAAAAAACAAAACCAACCAACCAACCAAACAACCACATGCTTGGTGGCTTAAAACAACATAAGTTCATTCTCTGACAGTTCTGAAGGCCGGACATCTGAAACTGGTATCACAGGACTGAAATCAAGGCATCAGCAGGGCTGTGTCCCTTCTGGAGGCTCTAGGGGATAATCTGTTCCCTCCTTCTTCTGGCTTCTGGTGGCTGCGGGACCTCCTTGACTTGGGGCCGCATCTCCAGTCTCAGCCTCTGTGCTCACACTCCCTCTTCTTTTGTGTGTGTGAAATCTCCTGGTCCTTCTCTCTTATAAGGATACTTGCGATGGCATTTAGGGCCCACCTAGATGATCCAGGACAGCTGCCCCACTCTAGTATCCTCAACTTCATCACATCTGCAAAGACCCATTTTCCTTATAAGGCAACAATTCTGGGCCCCTGGGATTAGGACCTGATACCCTCGGGCGGCCATTACTCAGCCCACTGCACCTGTGCCCCACTTGGCAGTACTGTATCTGTAATTTTCTCTTCATCGGTCCTCCAAAGAGAAATTCTCTGATGATCTGCCCAGTTGCCAGTATTCTTGGTGCTGAGGGGCCAGTGGGGGCCAGGACCAGGGAGACTTCAGTTCAGTCTCTTCAGAGAGAGAGCCCAAGTCTTGTGCTGATGGTAGATAAGGGACAGCCAGCAAGCTTCAGGGGTGAGGGGCTCAGCCACAGGATTTACTTATTCCTTAAACAGACCTTTCATGAATTTTCCTGTTTGCTATACCTCCCCTTCTTTTCTTCCTCCCTCCCTCCCTTTCTTCTCTCTCCTCTCTTCTCTGCCCCTCCCTTCTACCTCCTCTCCCCTCCCTTTCTTTCTTTCTCTCTCTCGTTCCCTCCCTCCCTCTCTCTCCCCCTCTCTTGCTTGCCCAGGCTGGAGTGGAGTGGCATGATCATAGCTCACTGCAGCCTTGACTTCCTGGGCTCTAGTGAACCTCCCATCCAAGCTTCCAGAGTAGCTGGGACCACATGCGTGCACCACCACACCTGGCTAATTTTAAAATTTATGGTAGAGATGGGGCCTTGCTATGCTACCCAGGCTGGTCTTGAACTCCTGGGCTCGAGCAGTCCTCCAGCTTCAGCCTCCCAAAGTATTGGGATTACAGGCATGAGCAACCGTGCCTGGCCTACACCCCTACTTTCAATTTCTGGACCTTTCTGGGGCTCTCAGGCAGAGGGAACCAGCCCTGTTTCTGGATCTGGACTTGGTTTAGAGATCCATTTTCTAATCTTCTCAGTAAGGTACCACTTGTTCATGACTTCCCAGTTTCCAAAATTTTGTCATTGTTGTGTTCTTGCAGGGTTTAATGCAACTAAAAGACTCCCTTTATTGGTGTGTGTGTGTGTGTGTGTGTGTATGTATGTGTACTTTGTGAGGGGCATGTGTTCAATCTGCCATTTAAAATTACATGTGGCTGTTAATGTGTGGTCCCAGCCAGCAATGGCAGCATCACTCTGGGACTTGTTAGAAATGCAAATTCTCAGCTAGATCCCAGACCTTCTGAATCATAAATTCCCAGGGTAGGGTCCAATAATCTGAATTTTAACAAGTCTTTATGAATTCTGATAGATGCTCACGTTTGAGAACCACTGTTGTCGGGTGTATTGATTCTTCTCTTTTCCCTCCCTACTAACACACGGGCTCCCGGCTTAGAGTATAGAGTCCTTTGGCCCAGGAGCACCACCTTATGGCTGCAGGGATACCTGGAGGATGATGGCTGACTTACCATGTGTCTGTTTTAGAAGTGAATATTCCTTCCATGAAGGCCTCTGGGGGCATCCACTTAACTGGCAGCATGGCACAGCCTCCCTTTCTATAGTAGCTCGCCCTGTGGGGAAGGAGAGGAAAACCAAACTAGGATCTGGAGATGGCATTAAGCATCTGCCCTGCTGGGAAAGTTGAGAAAGTGGCAACAATATAGTCTACCCATTAAAGGTCTGAAATTAACCATGAGTCCTTGGCGGTTCAGGAGGAGAGCAGGGGCACACAGATCATTTAGTTAAGAACTTTGGTGTCATTTAATAGAAGACAAAACAAACCACGAGAGGCATGAGAGGAATGATCTATGCAATGACTAAGATACCTGCTAGCAGATGTTTAGCTTTCTCTGTTGGGTTTTGTTTATTATAGCTCACAATGAATAACATTACTCCAACCTTATAAGTATAGTGTGTTTCTGATGATCTGCAGTAATGCAAGATCCAAAATGGGAGAACTGAGAGCAGGGCTTGTGTCTTAATCATTTTGGATCCTCTGACACTCACACAGCATTTAGTTCAGTATAGGCAATCAACCAGTAATCTAGACAGCTGTGTGGATGCTGCCTCCCATGACACACCCAGACAAAAGAACACAGGGCTAGGTGTGGAGTTGGCTTACAAGGTAGATGAGTTAATTTATTAGTTTTCATCAGTAATGTCATTAATGCAACTCACTGCTAAAAACCAATAAATTAACTCATCTGCCTGTTAGGCCAATTGCATGTCTAGCCTGGTGTTCTCCTGTGTGAGTGTGTTACAGGAAGCAGCTTCCTGCCAGCTGTCGACATTAATTAATTACCTCAATAAATAAGTACTGAATATTTAGTATGTATCAGGTACTCTGCCATGTGCTGAGGACATAAATAGGTCAGTCTCTCTCTCCCAAGGATATTGTTTAGTGGAAGAAATGGATATATATGCATTGCAATATAGAAAACACAGTAATGCAGGTATGTGCAAGGCTCAGTGACACAAATGAAGAATTGATTCATTCTACTTGAGGCAGGGGTAGGGAAAGCTTCACAGAAGGGCACTGATGGAGCTGAGGAGAAAAGACGCTCTCCCAGAAGACCATTCCTGACCCGTGCCATTGTACAAAGTGCAGAGTAGGTGGGGAATGAAGGACTGTAGGTAACTTAGGGTGGTTGAAGCCTGGAGCTGGGAGCTGTCAGAGCTGAGCCTGGGAAGGAAAAGTCAGATAACAGAGGGCTCGAGGAGTCATGCTGCAGCATTTGTATTTGAAATGAGAGGCAGTCCCAGGGTATTCTGAGGAGGGAGAGGAAGGAACGCTGAGCTTGTGGGTAGTGTTAGAAGGCGAAGTGGAGCAGAGGAGAGGAGTGCGACGGATAGCAGTGGTAGACACTCCAGAGACGTCTTTACTACATCTTCCACATGCTGCTGCCCCGTGGTAACATGATGGCCTCAGCATGCTCACCCCTGTGGGGACTGTTACCATGTTTGATGGAGGCCTTCAGGGGTGGTGTCTGGATCAGTCTCACTTATTCCCCAAAGAGTTAAAGCTCCATATAACGATTGCTCCTCTCTCTACCCCTGTGAGTTAGGGAAGGGGTCATCCTGTGCAAGGAGGGACTTGCTGAGCTCACATAGCAAGTCAGTGTTGTAAATAATCAGGGAAAAAAAGGAACTAGAGGCTAGGAAGAGAAGAGTGAGAAAAAGTACAATTAAAGTAGTATTAGCTTTTAAAACTGAAAAAAAAAATAATTTTTAAAATGTAGTCTTGAAAATGTGACAGGGAAAAAAAAAATAAGGCTGCGCTAAGTACTGATGGGTTCTGCGCTATACTCCACATCTCCTGGGGTGGCTAAAGCTGAGCAATGAGCCAGGCCCTGCATCCTGCCCGACCTGGGATGCAGATGCCTGCGGTGTTAGAAGCCATAGCCACTTAGAATTCCTGAGTACTGAGGAGTTGAGGAAGTTCAATAAAGCTCACTTTGAAGGTCTTTCCACATCAAGTATCCAAGTTATCCCATGTCTCAGAGCATGGCCAGATTACAGTTGGAACCGATGGACAACCTAATTAAGAACTTGGTGTTGGCTGGGCATGGAGGCTCACACCTGTAATCCCAGCACTTTGGGAAGCTGAGGCGGGCAGATCACCTGAGGTTGGGAGTTTGAGGCCAGCCTGACCAACATGGAGAAACCTCGTCTCTACTAAAAATACAAAAAATTAGCCAGGCATGGTGGTGCATGCCTGTAATCCCAGCTACTCGAGAAGCTGAGGCAGGAAAATCGCTTGAACCCGGGAGGCAGAGGTTGTGGTGAGCCGAGTTCGTGCCATGGCACTCCAGCCTGGGCAACAAGAGCGAAACTCCGTCTCAAAAAAAAAAAAAAAAAAAAAGCTTGGTGTCAATTACTGCAGGAAGTGTGATCCCAGATTTAGGCCTTCGGGCATGGTCACTAATTAAGGTTTCCCATAGCCTGAAAAGGAACTTAGTGAAATTTTAGGTAGAAAGTTGACAGGGTACCAGGAGATGATGTAAGGGACAAGCAGCCACACCCCATTCTTGAGGGGCTGAGGTGGAAGAGACAGGCCCGGAGGGGTGAGGCAGTCTTTACTCACCTGTAGATGTCTCGGGCCATCCCGAAGTCTCCAATCTTGGCCACTCTTCCAGGGCCTGGACAGGTCAAGAGGCAGTTTCTGGCAGCAATGTCTCTGGGAAGAAAGGAAATGCATTTCCTAATTTTATCCCTAGGAAGATGAGTGTACAACGGCCATCACTAGGATTTTATCTCCAAGCTGAAGTTTAAATAGTTCCTTCCCTTCCCTATATTTCCTTTAGTATAGTATACTTCAGTGTGAGAGAAACAGCCTTAACAATTCTAGGCCTCACAACTAAGAGAGAAATGGAAAAGGATTAGGGGAAATGATTAAAAATGTTTAATGGGGCAACCATAATGAAATGCATCATACTAGGAACTAGGATTTATTAGCCTTTTACTAGGTGCTAAGTGTTGTTGTAAGTGCTTCATATCTAACTCTCACAACAACCTTATAAGACACAAGGTGCTATTACTGTCCTCATTTTATTTTTTAAAAAGTAAGCTAAAAGTAGATAACATAGGGCCATAAGGAATGCTATCTGGCCTTAGGCAGATTTGGTACAAACCACGGGCTGGTTTCTGCCAGTTGTTTGAAAAAGTGTTTTAGAACAGCATGACTTCCCTGAAATCAAATTCAAGTAGATTAAGATATTCACAAATATTTCTAGTTTTTTGTTTTGTTTTGAGACAGAGTCTTGCTCTGTTACCCAGGCTGGAGTGCAGTGGTGCGATCTTGGCTCACTGCAACCTCTGCCTCCCGGGTTCAAGCAATTCTCCTATTTCAGCCTCCCAAGTAGCTGGGGTTACAGGCATGCAGCACCACACCTGGCTAATTTTTTGTATTTTTAGTAGAGACAGGGTTTCACCAAGTTGGCCAGGCTGGTCTTGAACTCCTGACCTCAGGTGATCCACCTGCCTCGGCCTCCCAAAGTTATTATTATTAATTTTTAAAATAAGCCATTATGGTTCTTTTGTCCATGATTTTATCTAAAGCCCTTGCTAAGCTACATGGCTGAAGAATCGCTTCTTCCAGGTGATAAAGTTGTCATCTCTGCTGTTGACTATAGATGACCTGCTTTCCTGTAGCCTGCCTCTGAGGCATGGTCAACCGCTGTCCAAGACTCATCAGCTTCTACTCTCTGCTTACCATTCTGGTCATGCATGTAGGAATGAAGGATACAGCCAGAAGAAGTCTGGGATGGGTCTCTAATAATATTAAGGTCCTGTGCAGGAAAAAACAAGATGTACTTAGGGAGCACAGCTGCTGTTTTCATGTTCAACTGGTTTCATGATGGTTCTGATCCTAGGTTGAGAAAGGACTTAGAGAATCAACTGGCTACTAGGATACTATTTAAAAAAAAGGATCTTGATTGGGGATCATGACTGAGGGTACAAGAATAACGGGTTCAGGTAGGAGATTCATGTTGTTAATGCTGCTGACCTGATCCAGAAGGTTTAAGTTGAATTTTGAGGTGGTGTATAAAATGCCCCCATAAAACCATAAAAGCATAACACATATGACATCAAAAAGAAAGAAAAATAGTTGGCTGTATAGCCGTTAATTCTCAAGAGAAATATAGCAAAGTAGACCAGGAACAATATTTATGGCTCCAGAAAAGTCTTTACACTGATGTGTATGGAATGGTTGTTTTAAAAAGTGATCGTGAATTTAATGGCAAGAAGGTAAATGCAGTACATAGAATACATCAAGAGTTGGGAGAGTGACACGTCATTTATGAAATGGCAATAAACCATGTCCAAAGGAAAAAGATCCAATTTTTTTAAAAAAATGGAAGCATGTGGATCTGGTGAGGAAGTTCCACTCTGAATTCCAAAAGCGTAAAAGTATACATGTGTGGAAGTCCATGAATCTTAAGAGCAGATAAAGGGTGGAGGGAGAGAGAGAATTCGAGGCAACTCTGTTGTGGGTATGTACCACAGACCTCTTAGCTAGTTAGAACATGTAAAAGACGTTTTTTCCATACAGATGACCAAATTGCCCCAGAAGGACAGTTTCTGCCAGAAGTTTTCTTTTGCTTAAAACAGATCATCTGATACCTTCTTGATTTGGTGTTTGACAATTTAATTTCTTAAAAAGGAGAAAAGAGCAATAAATGATTACTCTGGGATCTAATTCTAACCTTCAGTAACTATTTCCAGATATGGAAGTGACAGGAGTCTTGAGGGAATGTAATCCTGTTAACATCATAGCAACAGAGCATTGGGTATCATCAAAATGTCTTGTGGCTGTAGGAAAGGAGATGTCAAAAGGTCAGAGGACAAATGGAAATGATCCCTCAGCCAGAGAATCTGTATGCTATGGTGACCAACGTGGGCAGAGATAAAAAACAAAAGACAAGTAGAAAAGATCCCAGTGCTAAGTGAAGGAAGACATCTGGCCACCAGGTGACGCGGGTTGCTCTCATAGGAGTCTAGACTTAAAGCACATGGACAAAGATGGAAAGATGACTCTAACCAAGGACGACTTCAAAAGGAGCACAGCTTGGTCTTGACTGAGCAATGGAATGGCAAAGCCCAGAGCTGAGATTTATGGAAAGTTCTGGGTACAATGCAAAGGACAAGAACAGGACTGGGGAGCGGGGAAAGGGCTGAAAAACTACCTTAAAAAAAAGAACAGAACTGATAGACTCTTAGAAGGAGCAGATGGTAAAGCTAGGCCCAGCTCCTTTTTGGCTTCCATTATTTCTATGAAGCAGTATGACCTGCAAGTTGGAAAGGGTTAGAAGCTGGAGGGAGAACTGAAGGCTAAAAGGATGAAGTGACAGGAAGAGGATAAGCTCTTCTGAGAGTTGACTGCCTCATGTTAGGAGTGACTTTGGAACTTAGGCAAGTGTACTTCCTGACCTCTCATTTCCCCATTTTTATTAGGGAGAAAGCATAACTTGTTATATATTTGCATGATTTTCTATTTCTTTGTTTTTTCTTTTTTTTTCTTTGAGATGCAGTTTTGCTCTTGTTGCCCAGGCTGGAGTGCAATGGCACGATCTCAGCTCACTGCAACCTCCACCTCCTGGGTTCAAGTGATTCTCCTGCCTCACCTCCCGAGTAGCTGGGATTATAGGCGTCCCCCACCATGCCTGGCTAATTTTGTATTTTTAGTAGACATGGGGTTGCTCCATGTTGGTCAGGCTGGTCTCGAACTCCCAACCTCATGTGATTCTCCCGCCTCAGCCTCCCAAAGTGCTGGGATTACAGGCATGATACTTTTCTATTTCTAAGCTCTTACAACATCTCTCATTTTCTCTTTTGTACTTACATATTTTAATTATTATGAACATGCCTTAAACTCTTAGAAGACATGTGTTAATAAATTATTGTGAGTTCACCAGGTTATTATTTACTACATTAGAGGCAAATCATTAAGGAAGAGCTTTGCAAAGAGCCTGATGATCTGTTTTACTTTTCTGATTTCAAGCTGTCAGCTGAGAAAGTCATCAGCTTTCACAAGGAAAGACATACATGATATATGATGTTCACAGCATGATGTCCCAGTCTATACAGCTTTTAAACACAAGAATGATTGTAATAGAAGAAACTAAGTATAGAAGCAATGAAAATCATCTTTATGCTTCATTTCAGAGTATTTTAGAAAAAATTAATGTATCCAACAAACATTGTGTCTATGCCAAGTATACAAAGATGACTAAAACAGCATCCTTGCCTATAAGCCACCCATTGTCAAAAATGCAATTCCTTAACTTCCCCATAAGGAGCCCAGTTTTCTATGGCAGGGGGAAGCCTTAAAGTGATATAGGACTTGAACATTCAAGATACAGGCAGGGGTCCTCACAGGAGGTTAAGAATAACTTATAGGTCTCCAGCCCTGGCGAGGATATTTTATGACACTTGTTTTATGTAAGGGGCAAGTGAATCCCTGATAGAATAAGTTACCATCTCAAAGACAAAGCTGAAGGGGCCAGGAGCCATCGCTCATGCCTGAAATCCTAGCATTTCAGGAGGCCAAGGTGGGAGGATTACTGGAGCCCAGAAATTCGAGACCAGCCTGGGCAACAAAGTGAGACCCTGTCTCTCACAAAAAAACAATAAAACAAAGCTGAATCATCCTACATCCAAATGGCTCTGGAGGGAGACCTAGTATTCTGCTCTGAAGGGGGAAATGTGAGCCCTTGAGATCTGCGGGGAAGCACACAGATCAGCGACAGGATGACAGGAAGAGCACAGTCACTTTGACTCACCGGTGGATGAAGTGGTTTTCCTCCAAATACTGACAGCCACAGGCAATGTCCCGAGCCACGTGCAGAAGGTCCAGCATGGCCAGGGAGGAGGGCTGGCTCTGTGGGGAGACAGAAGCGGGCCACTGACGAGGAGCTTGTCAGTGAGAGGAGGGAAATCTGAAATGCTGGCTTCCAGTGCTCACAAGGAGGCAGACCGTGAACATGCAGCTACACCAGGGGCCTCGGCCCTGGCTGCACATTAGAAATCACCTGGAGGCATTTGAAAGAATTTGGATGCCTGGGCCCCAACCCAGACCTCTCTGGGTGGGCATAGTATTTGTACATTTGAAGTCTTCCCAGGTAATATGATGCCAGCGTGCAGCGAAGGCTCGGAACACCCAGACTCCGGGAAGCTAGGTTGGAGCAGGTGTTCTTTCCCTTTTAATTTATTGTGCACATTCTCTCACCCCAATCTTCATAAGCATTTGAATACCCCCAATTTATAAACAAGTTTGTGAGGAAACCACAGGGGAATAGGGGAGTTTTAAAAATCCTCGATTTAAATGTCTTAAAATATTTCTTAAAACTAATTTTCTTCAAGCAGATCCAGCGCTAAAATTGATTGAAAAAGAAAAGCTTTTGGGAAATGCTGGGCAATTATGAGCTATCTCAAGCTTTTCCGCATGAGGTCTCTTTCATTCAAAAGGAGATGTCACCTCCCTACCCCTCTGGGGACATCTCATCTTGGCTTCCTGGACAGCCTTGCTGAGCACAATGAAGCCTTTCCAGAAGGCGACATCCCATCTTGGCCTCTCTTTTAATTCCTAAATCCCTGACGTGTGCGGCAGCTCAGCTTCATGCAGTGTCCGAGTCACTGTGTTGTTCCATGTTGATTTCACCATTTCCCCAAGTCACGGTGATGAAGTTCCAGAGACAGGGATCTCACCCTCCCACAGCACCCAGCACAATGCTGGACACACACTGGGGGTTCAGTGAGTGTTGCGTGGCTGATTGGTTGATTATAGCTGCAGGCCAGGATTTACCTGGAGGAGTATGATTCACATACCTCCCCAAGAAAGCACACGCAGGTAGGGGGTCAAATCAATCCCCTTTAGGGCCGCCCCAAGAAAGGTGTTTGTTTAAGCTGGTGACTCTTGAGCACCTGGGCAAACTCCCTGCAGGAAATTCATGCTTGTAGCTCTCCTATTTTGCTCTTCTTTTGAAGGGTGGGCTGAGGACTGGGCTCTTTAGTCCTGAGGTGCCCACAGGGAAGTCACCCAGCCAGGCGGCAGCGGTGGAACCAGGTGGGGTCTGGGTGCAGGCTTAGCCTGCTGGAGGTTTTTCTCTGCCATAGATCAGGGCCTCCCCAGGACTCCCTGGAGCAATGGCCTGGGTCTGGAGGAGGTAGACAGAGTCTTGCTTCTCTAGGCCGTGCTTCAGTTCTTGGGGAGACAACTGAGAGTGGATAGTTCCCCTACCGGTGCCTTACATGCCCCAGAGCACATACATGATCTGCTGTGTGGTAGGTAGGGAAGAGAAGGTGATCTCCATATTAACGATGAGAAGGCTGAGGACTCAGAGAGGCTACCTGACTCACCCCAGGTCACACAGCTAATAAGCGTGGAGCCAAAGCTGCCCGGAGATGGGCTTTAAGGATCTGGGTTGGGAGAGGCATCCTCCCTCTTCCCTGGGATCCAAGGAGTTAAAATGGAAGAGAGAGTGCCTGAAGGGGGTTGGAGCGTATGTATGTGACTACAGTGCCCAATGCACACCAAATGCAGAATACAGCACCCACAAACGGCAAACACCACACTTCAGTGGCCCATCGAGCTGACCCGGGCTCCACCCTGCTGGCCTCTTCCAGGCCATGTAGTCTGGGGCTGGCTGCTCAGCCTCTCAGAGCCAGTTTCATCTGTGACAGTGGCGTGGGACTGTCGGTCTCCCTGGGTTGTCAGGAGCACCCACGCCAGCAGCCTCGGGCAGTGCCTCATCAGGGGACCCGAGGTATTGAGGGGTTTCCACATGGGAGACCAGGGGGACTCAGAAAATGGCTCCTTGTGTTTGGCTTATCCAGAGGCCTCGTTAGGGGCAGAGGGGGTACCTCTGCACAGGCGGGCAGCAGAGACTCTGATCATTCCCATCAAGCAGCACTCATGCCTGCATCATCCCTCCTGCGGCAAAGAGTTGGAATCAGGATTTTATCCCCATCTGCCGCTGGAGTGCAGCACTTCCTCGGACCCAGCTGTTCTTCTCATGGCCATGGTCGTGGGCCTTGCTGCAGGTGCTCCCCATGGTGGGTTTGCAGGATGGAAGAGCGAAATATCTTTTTGCTCTTCAGGAGCATGCTCTCTGTCCCTACCAGAGGAGGCCCTGGCCCTAGCTGTGCTAGGGCCTTGAGGAAGATTTTCTTCCTACCAGTCTCTTTGTGTCTTAGCATCCATCACTCAGGATGCGAGGGCCATAGATGTCTCGGAAGCCCCAGGAGCCTGGAGCGCTGTGGGGACTAAATCTCTCTGGGCATTAACTCACGGGCTAGGCTGTTATGGCCCCCTGTCCTTGGCTGCTCAGAGCAGATTAACTGCTCCACTAATCAGTGTGCACAGGGCAGACAGTCAGCAAGCGTGGGTTATGGGGGGTGTCTGGTGTGTACGTGTCTGTGGTGTGCGTGTGTATTGTGTATATGTGCGTATGGTGTGTGTGTTTTGTGTATGTGTTGTGTATATGTGGGGTGTATGGTGTGTGTGGTGGATGTCTGTGGTGTGTATATGTGTTTGTGTTTTGTGTACGTGTGTGGTTTGTGTAGGATGTGTGAGGTGTGTGTGGTGTGTATGTGTGGGGGTGTATGTGGCATATATGTGTGTGGTGTGTATATGTGCAGTATATATGGTGTGTGTTGTATGTGTGTGGTGTGTGCGTGGCATGTGTGATTGGTTGTGAGTATATGTGGTATATGTCTTTATGGTGTGTGGGGGGTGTGTGTGTGGCATGTGATGTGTGTGTGGTGTGTGCGTGGTGTGTGTGTGGCATGTGAGGTGTGTGTGGTGTGTGCGTGAGTGTATGTGGTATGTGTCTGGGGGCATGTGTGTGGTGTGTGTTGTATGTGTATGTGTAGTGTATGTAAGTGGTATATGTCTATGTGGTGTGTCTGTGGGGGGGGGGCGTGTGTGGTGTGTGTGTGTGTGTGTGTAGTGTATGTGTTGTGTATATGTCTGTGTGTTGTGTACATGTGTGGTGTTTTGTGTGTGTTGCATGTTGCATAGATGTGTTTTATGTCTGTAGTGTGTGATGTACGTGTGTGGTGTGTTTTTTGTGTGGTGCATGTCTGTGGTGTGTGTGATGTGTGTATATATGCATGTGGTGTGTGTTTTTTGTGTGTAGCATGTGTTGTGCGTGTGTGGTGTGTGTCTGGGAGGGGCTGTGTGCATGGGTGGGGTGGGGTGGGAGGAGCTGTGGACATTGGCAAACCCGATGCTGAATCTAGACTCGCAGAGCATTGCCAGCCAGTGCACCCTGGGACCAAGTGATTTTTTCATCTGTACCCATGCATTTCGTTTCCACAACAGGCACGGCTGACCTGGGCATCCACTCTGTCTACCGCGTCTGCACATCCGTTCTGTCATTTCATGTTTGCACAGATGTTGTCTGAGGCCAGAGCCTTTTATCCCATCTCAAAGGGTCTTTGATCCTGATCTAAGGTCTGTGGAGCCACTGAGCTACAGAGCTGGCAGGAAGTGAGGACAGAGACCTCTGATTCTGCACCTCAAGCCTGGTTCCTGCACACAGTAGGTCATCAGGGAACCCCTGGGAGTATCAGGAGTATCAGGGTGATTCCAACAAGCGAATCAGGTGGAATTCAGGCCTCTGAAGTCCAAGTTTCAGAATCTGGAGGCACACCTCCGCCTACTTTCTCTTCATGGCACATGTTTCTCCATCCCTCATGTCCCTTGGCCGATTCACCCTCCTTTATCCTGTGTAGGATTTACTGATATTAGTCCTGTCTGTCTGCTGGAAATCACATTCCTTTCTCACAGTCCACTGAATCCTCATCTTACAAAGTTGGATTTTGTGGCCCCGAGAATCCATGCAGGAAGCCCAGCTAAGCCCCAGGGAAGCTGCTGCCACAAACACATCTGCATTGGTGGCTCTAGAGGGCCACAATTGGACATTTGAAATCGGCCAAGGATCCCAGGAAGGACAGCTCACCTGGGCCTGGTGGGTGTATGGGAGGCGGGGAGGACCATGACTGGGGTGCTGCCTGGGTGTGCCTGGTTGGCAACGAGAGCCACACAGAGGAAAAGCGGGGCCAAGGGTTGAAAGAGCAGATTGGGTGAGGGTGGGACTCTGGCCCTGAGAAGTGGCTCTTCCAAGGACAGGCCCCCTCCCCGTTCTGGGGGTCCCTCAGGTAGTGCCTGCTGTTAGAGGGTAGAACTTGGGGACAGGCTCCTGTTCTGACTCTCCGAGGGTGGCACTCTGGGGTGGGGGTAGTGAGAGAGAGAGAATGATCTGCCTTTCCTTGCTGGACTATGTTCTTTGTAATAATATTGGAATCATCTTTCATCATCAAAGGAGAGAGATGCCTTTGTCTTTGAGAGAGGGAGAGAGAAAGGGGGAGGGGAGAGAGGGAGAGATAGAGACACACCACTCCTCACTCCTGCCATCTCCTGCCCCCGAAGTCCTTGAACTTGCCAAGTGCTGGGCTCCCAGACTCCCTTTGCAAAGTCCCTCTCCTTTGCATGCATACAACTTTCTCTCCTTAAGCCTCAGGAAGGTCCAGTGGGAGAACCAGGGCTGTGCCTCTTCCCAAAGTGTGATGCCACGTGTCCCCCACTGACAGCAGTGCTGCTGAGAATCTCAGGGCATGAGGGCCAAAGGCTCTGCCTTCCTAGGTGGTGGTGGGAAAGCCAGTGAATCTGATGCCTGTACCATGGCAGAGATGCCTGGATGCCTGGCAGTGTTGGCTCTAAGGACACAACCTCATCTTGATAGTTTACAGCTTCCCAGAGGGGACCACTGGATAAGCAGTAAGTTGGAGAGGGCACTGAATCAAGAGTCACAAGGCCTGAGTTCTAGTCCCAGCTCTTCCACTTCCTGTGTGGCCATGGCAAGTCCCGTAATCTCTCTGGGCCACCGTTTTCTCATCCATAGAATTGGGGAGAGACCTGCATTGTCTGTTCATAGGGTGGTGTTGAGAAATGTGAAAGGTCTGAGGAGGATGCCAGCTGATGAGGGCTCTTATGAGACAGACAGGTGTAGTCTTTATCTCCCTGCTCCCTGCCCAGTCCTCCTGCCAGGTATGCTCAGGTGCACACAAATTCCTCTTCTCAAGGGGTAAGACAGTATTCTTCTTAGATACTGAGATGCGTCACCCAGTGGCTAAGGTGAAGGTATTTTACATGGATCCTGACTGAAGGTGGAGATCAGAATAGCTATGACCTTGCAGGGCTTCCATCACCACTTTGAGTCCCTTTGAGCAGTGTGGTCAGGTTGGGCTTTCTGGAACCACTGGCTGTCAGTCTTCCCTCCTTTCCTGGGAGCGGGAGGGTGGCCGCTGCTTTTACTGTGCAAGTCTTCCTTGTGATCCCCATAGTACAGTGGTTCGTTGAGGAAGCCTGGATCCTAACCTTGGGGCCTGCTCAGCTCCAGTTCCTGGTATCCGGGGCCTGCTGAAGACCTGCAGACCCAAGCATGGGCAGCTGGGCTCTGGGTCTGCCCAGGGTGCTATGTTTAATAATTTAGAACCACCTTTGAGATGTTCTAGTCCAATCCTCAGATCTCACCTGTGAGGATACCCAGGTTAAAGGTTTAAGACTGCCCTAAACTACACGGGTGTCTAATGGCCAAGTTGGAGCTGGAGCTTGGGATTCCTGGGTCCACCCTGGGTATCTTCACTTCCCAAGCTCTGTTAACCATAAGATGTGTGTAGCACCTTCCTAAATATACGGTTGGAATGTCCAGGTATTATTATCCCTACTTGAGACGTGAGGACTGTGGGCTCTGAATGAGTAGCTGCAGAGTGACCTGCCCAGGTCAGTTGCTTGAGTAGTTACATGGCTGTCATGAAAGTTCTCCTCTGTGTTTGTCTCTAGTTTGGTTTTCCAGAGTCAGCAGGCCATGAGAATGGATCCAGGCTATAGAATGTGGATATGGTTTGGATTTGTGTCCCTGCCCAAATCTTACGTTGAATTGTAATCCCTAGTGTTGGAGGAGGGGCCTGGTGGGAGGTGATTGGACCATGGGTGGATTTCCCCCTTGCTATTCTCATGATAGTGAGTGAGTTCTCATGAGACCTGGTTGTTTAAAAGTGTACAGCGCTTCCCCCTTCATTCTGCTCCTGCCATGTAAGACGTGCCTCCTTCCCCTTCACCTTCTGCAATGATTGTAAGTTTCCTGAGGCCTCCCCAACCATGCTTCCTGTACAGCCTGCAGAACTATGAGCCACTTAAATCTCTTTTCTTTGTAAATTACTCAGAGTCAGGTAGTTCTTATATAAATGCAAGAATGGACTAATACAAATGCATTGCAGGAGCCTTGCACAAGCTCCTTGGGGCTGGGGCTCAGCCATCATCTACCTCTATCTTCTGTCCATTCTCTTCCAGCCAGTCAGTCACCCCCCTGTCCAAGCCTAAAGTTGACACCCTGGGTTCCATCGAGGAACTTGCTACCCAGGCTGCCCACTCTTGCTCCTTCCATCCTTGCTCCTGTCCTTGGCACAACAACTGCAGCAAAGACTGGTTCTCACTCACCGGGCGAGGGCGGGTCTCTCGGAGGAAGGACTTGAGGTCTCCCCCCGCCATGAGCTCCAGCAGGATGAACCGGGGCAGGGATTGCAGGCTCACCCCAATGCAGCGAACAATGTTCTGGTGGTTGAATTTGCTGCAGAGCAGAGAGGGATGTAACCAAAATTAACTGAGCTGAGTCTGGGCAAATCTTAAACTGGGAGGAACAGGATACAAAGTTACATTTTCAGCAGCTACAATGTATAAAGGCATTCTGTAAACATGGGCAGCAGGGGTCCCGGGCTGAGCCTAAACCCAGAATCTTGCTGGTGAGCAGGTGGGAAGAACCACAGCAGGCTCCACAGGAGTTCCATTTGCAGGAGAGTGGCTGGAGCTGTGAGGATGTTGCTCAGGCACTTGGGTGAGGAAGTGTCTCAGGGGGCAGGAGAGTGTCTTTCTCAGATACTGGTGCGTGGACTGGGTGCTAGAATTCATGGTCGATTTCTCCCAGGAAGGCCTCAGGCAGAAGGTGAAGCAAAACAACTGCTTCCAAGAGAGACTGGGTGAGACTTGCCAAGTGACAGCGTGTGAAACAGAGCCAGCAAAAGGGGATGGCCTCACGAGTCTATCAGTTTCCCGTGGATTCCTCATGGGAGGGACCAAGACTTGGGTTTTCTTGTTAACATGATCCCTTTAGGACACACAGGGCAGTAGGGCCTAGGAATTCCACATGGGCCAACATGCATGTGTGTGCATACACACATGTACACACAGCCCCCCAAGTGTTGAAAGACTGGGTGATTAGACACCAACATAATAATGGTTAGTTACCACCAAGTAGTGAGATTTGAGTGATATGGGTCTTCTTCAATATAATCTCATACTTGCCAAGTTTTATTCATAATCAGGAATTATATGTATCATCAGAAAATAAATGTTATTTTGTGTGTCCTCCTGTGGTTCCAGACCTCACAGCCATATCACTCACACTGCCTGGCCTTGTTACCCCTGCCACTTCCACCAAGGGGACATCCCAGTCTGCCCCCACCTGTCAGGACGTTCAGAGTCTTCCCAGTGTGACAGGGGGCCATGAGCCCCCACCTGATCTTGAGGTCAAATATCTGCCCCCTCCTTGAGGGGATCTGCTGTCACAGCGGACGCCCTCAGGAGCCATAGGCACTGAGACTCTCAGCTTAAATCCAGATCTTGGAGCCTCAAGTCAAAAGGTGCAGCCAGCTGAGACTCAGCCCTGCTGATGGGAGCCTAGGATGGGGTGGCCTCCCATCATATTAGAAGCACAATTACTGGGATTGGTGAAGGGTCTTGGAGGGAGATTATATCTTGTACTGTCAAAGTCTAGCATGCTCCATTTCTTAAGAAAAAGTGAGGGAAGAAGAACCAGTGGATAACAGCAGGGATACTGGTTGCAGACAGTGACATCGGTGGGATTATTAGGCCACACAGACTTTGTTTCTGAAACAACCATCAAGGGTTGTTCCATTCTGGTAAGAAGTGTCTAGAATGTTTGGGAGTCTCCTACTGGAGAAAAGGGGACATGCTAGGGACAACACGATTTCCCTTGGAGATATCGATCTGTTAGAAACCTCTCCAGGTTCTTTGGGGGCAGAGGGGAGTTGGGGTGAGGGTGTCTCTCTGTGGCTTTACCTGATGATCAGGGCTTCCATGAGGAAATCCAGTTCGTCCTGTTCAGAGCACACTTCAGGCAGCGTCTGGGCAGAGAAGGGGAGGGTGGGGAGGAGGAGGAGGCTGTGAGCTGAGAACTGCAGCCTACAGAGTCCGCAAGCCAAGGGCAGGCTCAAGAGTGAGCCACTTCTTACCTTCACAGCCACTTGCAGGGGGCTTGGGTCGTTGGGCATTCCGGACACCTGGCCTTCATACACCTCCCCAAAGGCGCCATGGCCCAGACCCCTGTGCAAAGGAGAAGACAAGAGGAGACAGAGTCAAACAGGCCACAATAATGAGGCAGCTGGGGGTCCTGAGCCTGGGCGTCACATTTAGTGGACAAACACGAGAGGCGGGGGTAACATACACACTCAGGAGTAATACCCTCAACATGGCTTTGCTATGCAATCTCGGGCTTCCAGTTCTTCACCTGAAAACTGGTAAGAAGGATTCCAACCAGGGACTCATGACAATGGTCAAATGTTTATTCATTCAATCAGTAGTTATTGAGTCTCTGATATTTGCCAGGGACACAGGGGTGCATAAGCCATGGCTTTTCCCCGGGGGAGGTTCATGCTCCTTGGGGAGAGACAGATCACTGTGGGTACTGGCTGGGGAGTATTTCCAGTGAGTGACAGAGGAAGGCGCAGTTGCTCTAGATGCTCAGAGGAGGGGCCCTTTGCTCCCCTGCTCCCCTGGAGGGAAGGGGAGCCAGGTAGACTTGGAGAGAGCACATCTGAATGAATTTTGAGGAGAGCCCTGGTTCTCCTCTCATTGTATAAACTCCATAAACTATGGGAGTTAATGTAAGCCAACATACATGGCCCTGAATGTCAAGGCTTGTCCTCCTAGGAGGGCTAGGGGTGCCCATAGGGAGGGCTCTGCCGGCCTTTTGTGGCTAGAGGAGTCTGCGGTGCTGTGATAACATTCAGCCCCTACACTGCACCCCTCTCCTCCCAGGACGGCAGCAGGGCGCTCACCGAATGAGGGTGATGTTTTTCCGCGGCACCTCCTTCAGGTCACTGATGGAGGAGGTCTTGCCAGCAAAGCAGTAGTTGGGGTTGTAGTCGGTCATGATGGTCGAGGTGCGGAGCTTGCTCAGCTTGTACTCAGGGCTCTGCAGCTCCATCTGCATGGCTTGCAGCTCCTGGTGCTTCCGGCGGTACACTGCAGGTGGGTGGTCAGCTGCAACATGGCCTGGCAGCCTGGCCCTTGAAGCACTACACAGGCCACTTCCTACAGGAAGCCTCCCTGGATCTCCATATCCTCCCCTGAGCTCTGAACCTTTCCATCATACTTAGAAATACTAATAAAATGATTAAAGAAGGTGTGTCTTTAATTGAAGCATGATTTAAAGTAAATGCAAAGCTAAAAATCAGATATATGGAAAATAATTATTTGTATTATATAGGGCAGAGTCATGTTAGTCTGGTTCCTCCAAGAAGCAGACTGGAGATGGGATTAGACCCAATATGGTCTGCAGATTTTATTAGAAGAAATGCCCATGAGAGGAAATGGGGAGGGAGCCAGGGAAGGCTGGGTGAACCAGCAGACTGTGTTGCAAGTATAACCCCACGTGAACGAGGGAGGGAGGGAAGGTTGGGTGGAAGCACCCTGGGTGCCATGGAGCCTAAGGAAGTTTCAGCAAGGCCCTAAGGGGTTCTGGAGCCAAAGTCAGTCATCAGAGGAGTCCCATGACTCCCAGGAATTGGCCTGCCTTAGTATTTCTGCTGTGCTCAGCCATTGGGTAGGGCAGCTTCAGTGCAATCACAGCAGTGGATTTGAGGGTGCAGCTGGGATCTTGGTCAGTTGTGTTTCCTATAGTTGGAGAACTGCCAAGCCACAGAGTTGGAGAAGAGCCACATCATGAAAAGATCTCTGAATTGGTGTCTGGGGATCTGTGCTCTAATTCCGCCTCTTGTTACTTACAAGCTGAGCCATGAGGACCAGGTCACAGGACCTCTTTGGACTGCAGTTTCCCTCTCTGTAGGCAGGGATGGTAACTCCTGCCCTGTTTCCCTAACCACTGCCACTCCCCACCCTCTAGGGTTGTCAATGAAATGAATTCACCAACATAAAATGGTTTTGAAAAATCCTAAAGAGCTCTACCAATGTGAGTGACCATTATCACTCCTACATGTGAGGATGTTCTGGAAGGCAAACTCCATGGAAGCCAGAACAAAATTGTGATTCAGTGGGTAGATTCTGTGTGTAAAGCCCAGCCCCCCAACACATGGGCCAGGGCAAATGAGTCACCCGCTATGTGCTCAGTTCCCTCCTCTATGCAATGGACCGACCGTGATCAGATTAGGGTTACCTGAGGATCGAATGAATTGAAATGTGTAAATTGCCGAGCACGTAGTAACCATGCAACAAGTGTTAGCTCCTATTATCCTGTCCCTTTGAGGGATGGCACCATATGGGGACACAGTGTGTGCTGCCATCTCCCTTCTACCGGCAGATCCCTTTGCCTGCAGGGGCCTGGCCTGCGAGGGCTCTCAAGAGCCTTTCCCTCTGCCCTTTTCAAGCCTCTGCCCATCTGTCCTGGGCATGTCTCTGCCAGCAGTAAGAGCTGGTTGGGACCACACTGAGTTCTCTGTGACCTGCAGGTCAGCTCACCTTGGCTCACAGGCTGAACAGAAATATACTCAGAAACCGATTTTCCTATCTCTCTGCCTGGAGGGTGGTGGAGGGCTGGTTTGGGGAAGAGTGGGCTAGTGCATTACATAGGGTGGGAGCCAAACAGGAGCTGCGCCGGTGGAAGCATGTGGGAGCTAGAAGTGACGTCTAGGGGTGGGGGCGAGCTTTCACCATCGTGATGGACACTGAAGGAGCTCCCCACCCCCTGATCAGCCAGGAGGATACACACGGGGCTGAGGTGCAGAATCAGGGGCTCCTCAGGGAACTGCAGCTGCTCTGGTGGGGGGAAGGTTGGGAGCTTCCGTTTTGGCTTGGCCTGGGCTGCCCTAATCACCACCCCACCCAATTCCAGGGACTAGCATAACGAAGTGACACCTTGGCACCTGTGGCACAGCCTGAGACACTATTCAGTCCTGCCTTCCTGCCCCCTTGGGAGTCCCTGGGGCTCTGTGCACTCACCAATCATGATGCCGGAGAAAGCCAGGACCAGGGCGGCCACGAGGGCAGAGGTCACCACAGAGAGGATCAGCGAGAGTGGCAGGTGTGGCTCCGGGGTGGGTGACACTGGAAGACAGGTCCCACTGGGGTATTGACAACCACACCAGGTCTCCTTTGAGTTGGTCCCAAGTCAGAAATAACCTCCCCCACTGAGACAAAAACTACTTGCTCCTTCCCATCGCTGGAGACCTTGTCACACTTTTCTTTTCAGGGGACCATGAGCAGGACCAGACTCATCCCGATTTGACAGGCTTTTAGCAGTAGCTTTTGGGTGAAGGGAAATTTAACAGGGATGAATATCAGTGGCGGGATGTTGGTTTGAAACATGAGCTGCACAACTATGGGGTGAGGATGGAAGGTGAAACGAAAGTGGATCTGGAAGAGATGTGGGGGCCGCAGGTGACCAAACAACAGGGTGCGCTGTAAGTAACACCCTCTGAGGCTAAGTTACTTCCTTGTGGCCCTGAGGCACTGGGCTCACAGTGGGGAGGGGTCCTGTGCCCTCTGCTGGCCAGACCACACGGAGGTATCGTGCTTGGTACTGGACACTACATTTCAAAAGGGACATCGATAGTGGAACACATGCAGAAGAGGGACACTGGTGGGGCGGGGGAAGAGACACAAAACTGCATCTTGTATGAACTGCTGCAAACAAATGGGTTATTTAGTCTGAAGAAGAGTTAAAGGAGGAGGATGGGGCCAGGTGCGGTGGCTCACACCTGTAATCCCAGCACTTTGGGAGGCCGAGGCGGGTGAATCACCTGAGGTCAGGAGTTTGAGACCAGCCTGGCCAAAAGGTGAAACCCTGTCTCTACTGAAAATATGAAAATTAGCCTGGCATGGTGGTGGGCGCCTGTAGTCCCAGCTACTCAGGAGGCTGAGGCAGAAGAATTGTTTGAACCTGGGAAGCGGAGGTTGCAGTGAGCCGAGACCACACCATTGCATTCCAGCCTGGGCAACAACAGTGAAACTCCGCCTCAAAAAAAAAAAAAAAAAAAAAAAAGAGGAGGAGAATGGGAGCACTGTCTTCAAACACTGCACATGCACAGCTGCTGCTGTAAGGAAACCTAGGAGAGGAAGGTTAAGGCAACAGGTCCCCAGCTCTGAAACTGCCCAAGGGAACAGAGAACCTTAGGAGCAGTAAGATCCCTGTCACTGGGCATGTTTAAGTGGAGGCAGGATGGCCCCTTGGTGGGGGTGGTAGAGGGCTTATTCTATAGTAGAGGATTTTTAAGACTCCTTCAGGAGCCATGACCCACCTTTCACACAGTGGTCAGAGCACTCGAGCTGTGGCAGGTAGGGGAGGGACAGAAAGTTTACAAAACCGAATCCAGGGTGTTCTGGAACCCAGAAACCATTTGTGGTCATGGGCCAAATCTCAGGCTATGGGCCCCTCTGCCTCCCCTGGCCCTGCCCCCTTACCAATGCAGGAGACGCCATCCTCAGCCAGCACCGTCCCGTGGTCACAGAAGCAGATGACCTTGTGGCTTTCAGGGTCCATGTGACATTCGTCTACCTCACAGTGACTGCAGTTTAGATAATGCTTAATATTCACTTCCCCGTGGCCTTCCATCACTAGTGACAAGGAGGGAGGGTCAGTCTTGGGCCGAGCCTGCCTCCCCACTCCCAGCCTCAGTACTATGTCTCCAGGTGGTCACTGTGGGTGCTCTGGTGGTCCCTGTTCCTAGGTCCCATAGCCACTGGAAGCACAACTGTGTAGAAGAGTCTTCCTGTGCATATAGAGAGTGCAGCGGAGGCAGCGGGCATGGGTGTCTATGGATGTTTGCTTTTGAGTCAGTGGTGGAGAGAAGCCCACGCACATGATCTTTAGGTTGGCTGGTGCAGGTATTGGGCTATTACTGTTACATTTCCTAGGATTCTGCCTCTGCATTCATATTAAAGCACACATCCTGACTTCTGGAAAATGTGGTGACCTGCGCCATAGGAAGCTTGCCTGCCAGGGACCCATAATTGTGCCTCTGTATCCTGGATACAGGTCAGAGACTCTGAGGTTTTAGCTTGGTGGGAGGACTGACCTAAGCAAGTTTGTTCTGCTGCCTGGCAGAGAAGCTACCTTTTAAAGCTGGGGTGTACAGGATGCCCAGTGGACTGATGAAGGAAACCCCATCTTCCCCATCCATTTCGGGGTCATTGTTTGAGGCTGCATTGCCGCCTGAGTAGCAAACCAGAGCAGAGTTTAACATGGGGGGTGGGTGCCAAAATCTTAACACACACACACGTCAGTGGGGCATGCAGCTCTGGCCAAAGTTAGGGGGTCACTGGGGACCTCAGGGGCAGGGATGCGGGGAGGGAAGGGAGGCTCAGGGCACAGAGGCTGCATGTGGGATTTGGCTCAGTAGATGCTGGGTGTGTGGCTAATTTCCCCTCAGGTCCAGGCCAGCTCCCACTCTGCCGGTGGCCCACTAAGAAGTGGTTAATGTGAGCAAGAGTCCAAAAAGTTCTAGTCTTTCCAGGCTGGGATATGCCCATGGTGCCTCTCCCAGGACTGGTCAGGATGGTAGCACTGAAGAGTTGCTCTTCAGCCCCATTGGGTCAGGGTTGGGGTGTGGCGGGCTGTGCGGATTGCGGGAAATGAGCCCCTGTGCCCTGAGGCTCCCGTCCCTCCTTTCATCTGGGGCTGGGCTATCTTTGGGCTCCCCCCTCGGGCTCCTCCCACCCACCCAGCTTGGAAAAGAAGAGCATGTGGTTAACACAAGCATCTTACACACAGCGTCAATGCAAAACACAGACACGAACACCACAGAGCATGCATGCATTCGTCCTAATCTGTGGGGAGCGGGGAGCCATCGTCTCCCAGCCTCTCAGCTTCAGAAGGCTCTGCTGACTGTGCTCTGAAGCCCAGACGAGGCAGCTGGGGTCAATGGGCAGCTGCTTGCTGAAGGGCTGGGCTAAGCCTGCCTGCAGTTGCCCTCGGGAATAGCTCCCATCAGCAGGCACAGCGGCGCCTTTCAGGAAGCTGGTGGGCTGAGGTAGGGAGCAGGAGTAAGGAGTCCATGAAACCACAAACCAGCCCCTTCAGGAGCTGGCTTGGCCAGGCCATCCAAGGGAGGCTGGGGGAGTCCTTATGGGTGACTCAGAGACTAGTCTGGCAAGCCAAAGCCTCTTTATCATCGACTTTGGGGGACATCAAGAATCACATGGGATCTTGATGCTGTCGCTGAGGAAGCCTGGAGGCAGGGTGCTGGCTCGAAAGCCAGCACCCTGCCTCTGGCTGGTCCAGGCAGGTCGAGAGGGAGGCGTGCAGTCACATCACAGTCCACACTTGGGCAGGCCAGGGGAGGGCAGGGGAGGGCAGGGCAGGGAGGTGAGGAGCCTAGGACTAAGCAGGGAGGGAGTGACACCTTGAACACGAATCATCTTTACCTATATATCCTCCGCCTCCTCCACCTGAGGAGCACCCCCCTCCACCCCCTCCGAAACCCCCTCTTGTCTCCCACCCCCACTTCTTCATGGCCTGGGGGCAGGAATGTCCTCCGGTGGCACCCTCCTGCAAAGATTTTCCGGCCCAGAGCAAGGAAGTGTTATCATTCCAGCCACCTCCACCACCTGCGGGAAGAGATAGGGAACCTGCGTGAGGATGCTGGCAAGGTTCAATTAGCCATGCTGGCCAGAGAAGCAGGATGCAGGACGCCTTGGAGGGCGCCCGCACCAGCTCCAGCTCCCGGGGCCCATCTTCAGTGGGGCCTGGGGGCTTCAGATCCACACTAGGAAAACCAGGAGGCTGCTTGCCCTAGGAGACCTGTTTGGCCACAGCTGAGTACACCCAGATGAGAGCGTGCCTTGTACCCCTGCTTCCTGCCAGTACTCTCTGGCTCAAAAGCAGGGGCTGTGCTTGGTTAAGGATGGGGGGACGTGGGCAGACAGGCAGCATGGCGACTAAACTCGTTCCTCTATCTTCTCTTCATGTCAGCCAAGCCCCGTAGCACTGGACCTTCGTTTCATTAACTGCCTCCCGTCCTAACGAGAAAAGGGACTCACCAGTCTTTGAGCAGCCACATGTCAAAACCTTGCACTAAAGTTCCTTGCAGGAATCCTGGACTAGGCTGACCAGAGAGCCCGTTGCTGTCTGTGAAACCCTGGGGAAGAACGCCCCATTCTGAGCCTGTGTTTCCTCACCTGTGGCTTGGGGATAATAAGACCCACCTGATGGGGTTGATGTTCCGCTCAAAGGAGACAGTGAGTGTACGAAATGCTCCACAAACTGCCAGGGGTGGGGAGCGTCAGGGGCTCGAGAGGCAGAACACACGCGTGCAGACAGCCTCACACCTGGGCTCAGCCTGCTTAGAGGTTCTCCAGGGCCAGGCGCTCAGGAACTGCTCCAAGGTCAGGAGCAGAAGCCCTGGTGGGTGGACGATACCCTGGCAACAAAGGCAGCCTCAGGGCTGTGCTTCCCAATGCCTGGGGCTGCTTTGGGCTCTTACAAAGGAAGCTATCTACAGAGCCGAGGTTGAATGTAGCCACAGGTTGACCACAAGAAATCTCTTCTGCTAACCTTTGAGATTCCAGGATATCCCCTATGCCTACTGTTCCATAGGACATTTGAATAGACATCTACAGTTGTCCCTCAGTATCTGTGGAGGTTCCAGGATCCCTCCATCACACCAAAATAAATGTCCCTTTATATAAAGTGGCATAGTATTTGCACATTCTCCTATAAAAAAATCATCTCTAGATTACATATAATACCCAATACAGGGTAAATCCTATGTAATAGTTATTGTATTATTTAGGGAATAAGTCTGTACATGTTCAGTAAAGACACAATCATCTTTTTTTTTTTTTTTGAGTATTTTTGATCTGTGGTTGGTTGAATCCCACGAACGCAGAACTGATGGATAGGAAAGGGTGGAGGTATTCTAAAAACCCTAAAACCCTTTCTGCTGCAGCAGATGATGCATGCTGGGGACCTGGAAATTGATGGTGGAAGGCAGAAACAGCAGTGTGTGTGTCTGCCGGAACCCTACGGGTGAACCGGCCTGGCAGGGTTTCTGGAAGCACTTGTGGCCCAGATTCTTTGGGACCCAGAGGGACCTGTAGGTGGGATGACTGTCTTGCTAGAAAGAGGAAGCCAGGTTTTGAAAATGAAGCTGAGGTCAGGAACAAGCTTGAATCTAGAATGGGGACAAGCAGAGCTGAGGCGAGGCCATCAGGCAAGCTGGGGGGACTTTGTTAGCCATGAAACCTCCAGGGGTGGGTGTTGAGCTTGGGTTTGTTTCGCTGTCCTCCCTTCTGCTCTCAGGGGAGGGTGTGGGCCTGTCAAGGCTGTTGTCATGTGGCAGAGAGAAGGCCCCTTAGGCGCGTTAGGGGCCAGAAGTTGGCGCTGGTGTTTGTGCACGGCTGTGAGTAAGCGCGTAATAAATAAATCAGAACGAGATGGACGGAGACCATGCGCTGTGCTTTCATCCTGCTCAGCCCCCAGCTGAGGAGGTTTCTGACCCCCATACCCGTTCTGCAGCCTTCGAGCAAATGTGTGGAAAGGAAAATAACCCATATCAAAATCAGAACAACGGTGTTTTAAAAATACGAATTGAGTCTGGCCAGGCGTGGTGGCTCACGCCTGTAATCCCAGCACTTTGGGAGGCCGAGGCAGGTGGGTCACCTGAGGTCAGGAGATTGAGACCAGCCTGACCAACATGGAGAAACCACGTCTCTACTAAAAATACAAAAATTAGCTGGGCGTGGTGGCGTGTGCCTGTAATCCCAGCTACTCGGGAGGCTGAGGCAGGAGAATCGCTTGAACCTGCAAGTCAGAGGTGGCATGAGCCGAGACCGTGCCACTGCACTCCAGCCTGGTGACAGAGCGAGACTCCGTCTCAAAAACAAAAAACAAAAAACAAAAATTGTCTCTATCACTAAACAGCTCGGCCCTGTTGAGAAAAAAAAAGTCATCATGCCTTGGTGAGCCCATTGGCTCTCCTGTAAAACAGGAATGGTATCTGCCTGGAAACCTGCAGGTTGTTTTGACAGCACATGTGCAACAGAGGCAGAGGTGCTTCAGGGTTTCTCGGGTGCTGGGCCTCGGTGCTGCAAACGTCACTGGAGATCCTCAGGGTGGACCCATGACTGTTTCTACTCTTCTATTCTAGCCGTCTCTCAATTGAGAGACAGTTTGCACATTTGTTTTAATTAATCCCAAATCTTAAATGCCTTCTAAGATCCTCCCACAGTCTGATTGTGTGGAAAAGAAAATACAAAAAGGAATTGCATTTTCTGTCTTTAGGGGTGGCTGACTTTAGAGGAATCAGGGAATTGACACTCTCTTCCCTGCCTGTCTCACATTTCTGTGCTTCTGGCTCCCATTAATGAGGGAGGAGAGCTCAGCCGTGGAGAGTCAAGTAAGAGATTTTCCAGCGGGGATACGCTTGGGTCTGGCAGCCCAGGGCCTGGAGGTCTGTACCATGGGGGTCTAGGAGGCCTGACATTGCCCAGATTTTTTTCACCTGCTCATATCCTAACTGGGGGGCCCATCTGCCCCTGGAGGAAGAAGGAATCTCAGGGGGAGGCTCTAACAATTGCAGGGAGGGCCAGCTGGCTGATTGACGGCTGCTCCCTGCCTCACTTTCTCAGTGACCTTCTACAAGTCCAAGCTCCAGGTCAGCAAGATGGCCTGCAGGGCTCCCAGGGTGCTGCCTGCCCTCCCTCCCTGGATATCGGTACCAATATTCAGAGCTCCTAGCATCCCAGGTGCCAGTGACTAAGATGCCCTCAGGCATGCGATGGCATCGGGGCCCAGCTGAAGGCCTGGGAGAGGTTCTGGGAGAGGGCACGCTTGCAGCGCTTTACCTGCGGCTCCGGAATTGCCGTTTAGCCCTAGAACCGAGGAGTTATTCTCCAGTCTCTCTGGGTGGAACGTGTCTGTCTTGGCCCCGTAGGCCCTGCCACCACCTCCGGCTGCAATGATCAGGGGCACCGGCACTCCATCCTTCATCTGACCAGGGGAGACATTCAGACATTGAGAAACCGAGCTGTGCTTCCCCCTGGAGCCCCTAAGCTCTGGTAAATTCAACCTGACTGAGGGTTTGCTGTTTTGGGGTGACCTGGTGACCTCTCAGTGGTCTGAGGTGGTTTGCGGGCTCTGAACCCTTGTTACAATAGCCCATCGGCTCCGCCAGCTTCTCTATCAGTCAGGGTTCAACCAGAGAAGCAAGACCTATATACCAAGAGCAAAATATAGATACCAGGAGGTGGGGGTTGATCTTAGAGGCTGCTTCCTCTACTTCCTCTAGCCCCTTTCCTGAAGCTCCTTAGACTGGCCTCAGAGGTCTGGATGCTGGTGATTAGAAGCAGGTCTCTCTATGCTCTCTCTCCCTCATTCTTAGGGGTCTCTGGCTCTGACCCCCAAAGATTCAAGGTTAAGCCCTCAGCATCACAGTCCTGTGGGAGGACCTAGCAGGTGGCCTCTGTCTTCAGTTTCTGGCCTGGCTGTGATGATGTCAGCAAAGTCCACCTTAGGGCAGAGAGCTGGTCCAGGAGGGCACAGTGGGACTCTCTGAAAGTAGGATGGCAAAGGCTGTGCATGGTGAAATTGGGCTGATGTATCAGTAAGAGAAGAGTTCTACCCTTTCCTGGACAGACAGACTCTATATCTCTCTGGATCTCAGTCTGCTCATCTTTATTTTTTAATTCTTTTGTTGGTTTTAGAGACAGGGTCTTGCTCTATTGCTCAGGCTGAAGTTCAATGGCGTGATGACAGCTCATTGTAGCCTTGAACTCCTGGGTTCAAATGATCCTCCTGCCTCAGCCTCCCAAGTAGCTAGGACTACAGGTGCAAGCCACCAAAACTGGCTAATTTTTAAATTTTTTTTGGTAGAGACAACGTTTTGGTATGTTGCCCAAGCTGATCGTGAATTCCTGACCTCAAGTGATCCTCCTGCCTTGGCCTCCCAAAATACTAGGATTACAGGAATGAGCCACTGTACCTGGCCCTGCTCATCTTTACACGGGGATAAGAGCATCTGAGGTGTTTCTATCCCAGGGCTGTCATGAGGCTCTGACATTGCAGATGCACAGGAACCTGGTGGAAATCTGGCAGCACACACCATACCTTAAATACGTAGGTGGCTCCACCCCCTCCTCCTCCGCCTCCTGCCCACTCATGCACGCTTCTGTTCACACGGATTTCTTCTTCTATCACATTGTTCTCTCCAATGCAGACTTTCTGGATTAACTGGTTTGTCTGTAGAAACAAAAAGCACGTTAGGTTTGTGGCCAAACCAGAGTTCTCCACTTTGCAGCAGACAGAACTTCTATGCTTAAAAACAGGATCTGACTCTCTCTCAAAAAACTTACAGTTGAGTTGAGGAGGCAGAAAAATATACCAATAACTGTCACTCTGGGCAGTGTTAGGGAAGGACCACAAGGATAGCTTAGACAGAAAATGCTAGGAGAAACTGGGAGAGAGAGAGCAAGGTTTTATTGCTGTGAGGACTGCTTGTAGGAGGCGGCTTTTAGTTGAGCCTTGAAGGATAGGGAGTTTTTTTTTGTTTGTTTTTGTTTTTTTCACAGAGAGTGGGGCAAAGTTATGTCATTCCAAGAGCAGAGAGTGGCATGAGCCCAGAGGGAAGTGGGTGAGTGGGGTGCGTGGGGGAAAAGCACAAGGGTCTCTTTGGCCCAGAAGTCTATCAGGACAGAGAGATTGTCCAGGACCTGTTTCGATCCTGTGGGATGAAGAGATCCAAGAAAGAATGGGAAAGGTCCTATGTGGTGAGATGGGGCTGGAGGGAGCGTAAATTAGGTGGGTAGAGAGAATTAAACGGAACAGTGTGATCATGGCTAGAGGCCTTGAAGGCACTGCAAGGAGTGGACTTCATTCTCTATGAGAGCCGTTCTCTCACTGAGAGCCATCGAGGTTTTCTGAGAAGTCACAGTTCTGAAGCATCAGGAGGAGAGAAAAAAACCAGCAAGAGGCCAGACTCAAGTTTTATTCCCAGTTCTTCTCTGGGAAGATCAGTTCTCCCTTTTGGACATCTCATTCCTCCTAGCTAATGTTCCATTTTTTCCCTCCGGAATCCCTGGCACACCCCTCTGCTTGCCTTGTAGAGTGAGCCCTGCAATCAGGTAGTCTGGATTCTCCACCCACCCTGGGAAACTGTGACAGGGGCCCTCGATCTCTGATCTTCCAGTGTGGCTGCGAATGAAGACAACACAGGTCGTTGTGGCATTTACTGAGCGTAGTACAAGTACTACCCTCAGGCATCTAGTGGAGCGCCTCACACATGGTGGGAACTGAGTAAATGGCTGCTGTTCTTATCTGTTTGTTTTTGCCATCTTACTCCGTGCAATGGCACGACCTTGGCCCACTGCAACTTCTGCCTCCCAAGCAGCTGGGACTACAGGTGCACACCACCATGCCCCGCTAATTTTTGTATTTTTAGTAGAGGAGGGGTTTTGCCATGTTGGCCAGGCTGGTCTTGAACGCCTGACCTCAGGTGATCCGCCTGCCTTGGCCTCCCAAAGTGCTGGGATTACAGGCGTGAGCCACCGTGCCCAGCCAGCTGCTGTTCTAATTTAGATTCACTTCTGGGCCCACATATGCTCCTGGTTGGGGCTCAGGTATTAGAGAGTCCCCAGGATTGTGCTGGAGATTTCTGTAACAGAATCCTGGAATCCCTGAAGAAGTAGGATGGTGCTTCAAAAACAGCCACGCCTGCTTGTCGGCCACCACAGCTCAGACGAATTCTTCAAACATCAGCCTGACCTTGGAGGAAAGTGACTTTTCTTTCACTTAATAGAAAAAAAGCCAGTAAAACATCACATTTCCATCGATGCTGCTTCGTAACCAGCTAGTGGATGCAGCCATTCTTCTTGAGCCACTTCTTACGCTAAAGCGCTCAGGGGTGCCGGCAATGAGTACTACAGAAATTTCCAGATAAATAGCCGAGATGCAGTTTGTTTCATGGAATTTTGGATTTAACGATGGAAATAATTTGATATTTCTTAGAGTGGATCTAGTGTGGGTGGAAGGCTCTGAATTGCTATTGTAGAGAGCTGGCATTTCCCATATGTATGTGCAGCTATGTCCTGGCCTGGGGGGAGACTCCTGGGAGGAGACCCTGCTCACTGCCACCTGGCACAGGCGTGAGTTGCAGGGAATGTGCCCTGAGGGTTGGCCCTGGGGATGGGTCTGAGGGATGTGAGCTGTCAGCTGGGCAGAGCACAGGATTCAGGGTCCAATCTGGGTTCTTTCTTTTGAGACAGGGTCTCACTCTGTCACTCAGGCTGGAGTGCAGTGGCATGATCATAGCTCACTGTAGCCACGAACTCCTGGGCTCAAGTAATCATCCTGCCTTAGTCTCCAGAGTAGCTGGGACTACAGGCACAAGCTACCAGGCTCGACTTTTTTTTTTTTTTTTTTTTTTTTTTTTTTTTTAAGAAACAGGGTCTTGCTATGTTGCCCAGACTGGTCTCTGACTCCTGGCTTTAAGTAGTTCTCTTGCCTCAGCCGCCTGAGTAGCTGGGAGTACAGGTACGAAATACCATGCTTGACTAATTTTTGTATTTTTTTTTTTTTTTAGATACAGGGTCTTGCTGTGTTGCCCAGGCTAGTCACTAACTAAGCGATTCTCCTGACTCAGCCTTCTCAAAGTGCTGGGATTACGGGCATGAGCCATCACACCCTGCTCAGTCTGGGTTCTTGACAGCTCTGTTGGAGATTTGCTGGGCTATACTTGGTGAGGCACCCCGCCTCCCTGGACTTGCCTCCTCATCTGGAGATGGAGGGGCTGCCCAGTCTGAACCAGTGGTGCTGAGAAGGTCCACCCCGTCGGCCTCTGCTCCATCTCCCCTCTTGGCTTGCGGGCAGCAGTGGGACCTCCACCCCTAGGTGATGCCCTCCCCTCATGAACAGATCCAGAGATTGCTGGGATGGGGAGGAGACAGCAGTGGGGCTTGAGGATGGGCTTTCCTGTAGTTAGAGCCAATTTCTTTAACCAATATTTATTGAGTACCTACTTTGTGCCATCCCTGTTACAGGAACTTGGGATATATTGGTGAACAAGAGAAAGATCTTTTCTGACCCATGCTCATCCCCCGCACCCCTGCTTCTGATGTCTCCTTTAGATCAGGTGGGGGTGGGGAGCGGTCAAGGCTCTTGCTGGACCAGTAGCAGCATTTGGAGGAGCTGCCGCCCTTTCCTCACATGACTTCCAGGACTCCCCATCCTCTTGCATCCTCTCCTACCTCCCTGGTTCCTCTTCTTTGTCCCGCTTTGCTGGTTCCTCTTCTTTTCCTGACCTCTAAATGTTGAGGGTCCCTTAAGCTCGGTCTTCACATTCTTCTCTATCCGTATTGCATCCTAGGCAATCTCATCCTGTCTCAAATTTATGCTAATTTCTCCAATATTTATATCCCCAGCCTGGACCTCTCTCCTGAACTCTAGCGGCCTGTCTCCCATCGTCCACCTGTCTGCCTGTGGCTGTCTACCAGGCCTCTACAACTCAGCATGTCTGATATTGAACTCCTGATCTTGCCCCCAGATTTGCTCCTTCCACAGTGTTCCCTAACTCAGGTGATGGCAGCTCCCTTCTTCCAGTGGCTCAGGCACAATTTTTGGAGTCATCCTTGACTCTTTTCTTTCTCTTAATTTCTCATTCAATCTGGCAGAAAATCCTTTTGGATTTGACTTTCAAATTACACCCAGAATTCAACCACTTTTCATCCCCTCCACTGTTACAATCCTAGTCTAAGCCATCATCATCTCTTGCCAGGATTAATGCCATAGCCCTTGAATTCATTGTCTTGACCCTTCCCTTGTGTCCATAGATTCTTCTATGGTAGATTCTTCACATTGCAGCCAGAGTGAGCTTTTTAACACACATACCACATTATGTCACCATTTGCCTCAAAACCCTCCTATGGCTCCAACATGCCTTAAAGTGGCCTGATCCAGCCCTATTACCTCTGCCTTATCTCTTACCTACCCTTCCTTTGGCTCCCTCTCCTCCAGCCCGAGTGTTCCTTGAGCATCGATGAACCTCTGGGACATGGCCTTTGCTGGGGTCACTGTTTCCCCAGATATTTCCCCCTCCCTCTCCTCAGATGTAAGTTCCTTGAGAGCAAAGATCTTTCTTTTGTTCACCAATATATCCCAAGTTCCTGTAACAGGGATGGCATTAAGTAGGTACTCAATAAATATTGGTTAAATAAATTTGAATGAATTGAGTGCTGTCTGGATTGTGGGCTGGCTCTTCACAATATTTGCCTTGCAGGGGATGGTAATGGTGGAATTTAACATTTAGAACAGACTTGGCTTCCTAGGGGACATTTGGAAGTGTCTGGAGGCTTTTGTGATTGTCATTTCTGGGGGCTGTTACTGGCACCAAGTGAGTAAAGGATAAGGATGCTGCTAAACATCCTGTAATACACAGGACAGATCCCCGCCCCTAGCCACAAAGAATTACCTGCTCCAAAATGCCAATAATGCCACTGTTGAGAAAGCCTGATTTAGACTCATGCCACCAGGCGAGGTTTGGGAGGCACTGGAGAAGCAAAGACGGAGGGCTGTGTATGTGCACATGTGCTGTGTTTGGGGGTGGGGTGGAGGATTCTAGCAGCTGGAGCCCATTTCCAGCACAGGAGCTCCAGTGTGGCCGGGTACATAGAAGGGCAACTCCCCGCTGCCCCCATAGATGTGCAGTTGAACCAGCAAAGCTGCCACATCCGGCAGTTTAATTATTTTTTATTTATTAATCTTTTTGCGACAGAGTTTTGCTCTGTTGCCCAGGCTGGAGTGCAGTGGTGCGATCTTGGCTCACTGCAACCTCTGCCTCCTGGGTTCAAGTGATTCTCGTGCCTCAGCCTCCTGAGTAGCTGGGACTACAGGTGTGCACCACCGCACCTGGCTAATTTTTGTATTTTTAGTATATACATGGTTTCGCTGTGTTGGCCAGGCTGGTCTCGAACTTCTGACCTCAAGTGATCCTCCCGCTTTGGCCTTCCAACTTGCTGGGATTACAGGCATGAACCACCGCACCCGGCCCCTGCAGTTTAATTCTTAGAGTCCACTTCATTATCTTGAGAATTGTGTCTAGACACCATTTTTTCTGCCTAGTGAGAACTGGAGATGGAGGTAGTGCCTGACAACCGCCATTTTTCCCCCTTTCCAAGTGCCTCCTCAGAGGTGGAGATGTGAAGCCACAGCGAAGACCAGTCACTCTCCCCACATGCCCCTGCTATGCCTTGCCCAACCAGCAGAGTGAGCTGCCCTCTGTTCCTGGCCCAGAATCGCCTCCTCCTGCCTGCTTGGGAACTTCCTGTGCATCCACAAAGTTTGAGAGCTAGTAGATTGATTAATAAAAATGATAAAGTGCAGCAACCCCGAGGAACAACTAGATTTCAATTGAATTTTTAAAAAAGACGCGGTCCCGTGAAAAGACATAACTGATTACAGTCCAATCAAGTGAAAGTCCCTTGCAGAAGATAATGCAATCTTTCTGCTTAGATGAAGGAATTACATTAGCACTCAATAAATTCCCGTGAAAATTATAGCAGCCTGTAATTTAATGGCTTAATATATTATATTAGGTTGGAAAGTCCCAATTATAGTTGCTAAATAAAAGTTGGAGTTGAGACATTTTTTATGCAAAAGGTTGCACTTGCTAAGCTTACTCCTGTCGTTTCACCTTAACCCCGAAGGAGCAGAAGGGAAAAACTGAACTTTACTTTTCATGCTTCCTCAGCTCCTAGCCCAGGGCCTGGCTCTTAGGAGCCCTGAATTTATTTTGTGGAAGTAAACTGCTTTCTCGGTAGCCCCTCTTCCCATATCTCTCTGCCAAGGATGTTCTCAAATAAGTTTCTGGAGAAGGAGCTGGGGGTCCTGGGTGCTAGAACATAGCTGTCTGCTTTGGCCCCTTTTCCCAAGCAAAAGCTGTGCTTCAGGTGAGGGAGGGGGGGAGCCTGGCCCAACCAGGAGATTCACCTGGCAGGGTGCTGAGTTCCTGCTAGGATGGCCAGCTCTGCCAGGTCCTGCCTCCCCCTAGCACAGGCAAGAGGTGAACCACTGGGGTGCTGGGAGTTTGCAAAGCTGCTGTTTAATTACTCTTTGCTGTCTCATTCTCCTGGTATGAACTTCCAGGAGGAGGGTGTTGAGTGTTGGTGCCTCCAAGAGGCCTTCCCGGGGCCTGACAGAGTGCAGACGAGAAACCCCTGCTCTGGGCACTTACACTGGGGCAGGCGTCCTCTCCCTGCTGCCCAACCAGGATGTACAGCATGTCATCCTTCTCCAGGTTGAAGATGCCCAGCACAGACACGCCGTGGGACCGCATCATGGTGTTCTTCCCGCCTTTCCCGCCAGCAGCTCCGTAGCCCGAGATGCTGCAATGGGACAAAGAACGTTGGCTCCCGCTGTGGTATGAAGACTGTCCCCCTTCCTGCCAACCCAGCAGCTTCCAGTGGGCTAAGCACATCGCCATCGTGGTCTGAGGGTTCTCCCCCATATCAGTCCCTGCAGAAAGGGATTCTTCTCCCCCACTTCAGGAAAGGACGATCAAGTTTAGAGAGGGACAGGGAGTTGCCTCAGTCACAGAACTAAGAAGGTGAAAGACTAGTAAAGGGTGCAAGAGAGAAAGAGAGGAAAAGGGCAGGGAGGAGGGAGGGAAGAAGGGAGAGAAGGAGGGGAGAGAGAGAGGGAAACAGCAGAGAGAGAGAGAGAGAGAGAGAGAGAGAGGAGACTATATGAATGTGGCATATTGGGGTGATGGCTTTCTGAATACCTAGGATTTCCTCATTATGGTTTTCTCTCCTTGTCCCAGATCAATGGACTCATGTGACCTTAGACAAGTAACTTCCCTATTCCTCATCTATACTATGGGGATAATAAGTGAACTTGCCTCCTAGCCTACATGTGCTATGAGGATTAAAGAAATTAAGACATGTGGTCTTAGAATTGTGGCTGACATGTAATAAGCACTCAATTAGTATTAGTTAATTATTATTATTATTAATGACGGTAGTAGCCATAATTGACTTGGTACAAAGTTGTAAAGTCTCCCCATGGGGTCTGGAAACAAGGAGGTTCCTCACAGAATGACTGAGGAGAGCAGTGTATATGAGCCGACTGTCTATTCCCATCTCACTGGTAACTCCTCCTGGAGAAATATGTGTGCAAACAAACAACCCATCATGATGAAAATAAAAACAGAGTGTGGGGATGGGAGATGATTTCTGCTGCCTCTTAGGTTGCTGCAATGAAGTCAAGCAAGGATGGGGAGAAAAGAACTCTCTTCTGAACCATATCAGAAGAGCGGCATGTCTTGAAGACAGCTAACGCACCAGCTAACAAATGTGTCCCCAGGGACCAGCTGCCAGGGTATGGGACTCGGCAGACTTTCACATCCATGTGTATTCAGATCCAAGGTCTTTTACAAAAAACCAGGAAGAGATGCAAGGCAGTTTTGCCCATGTGCACATAGTAGCTCCTTTATCTACAGTTCCAGGAAATGTCCCTTCTTCCAAGTGTGTGAGGGGCCTCCCGGAGCTCTCACAAGGCAGAGCCCACGGCCCTTCTGCAGAGGCTGTTTGCGAACATGGCAGGCAAGGAACTGAGGTCTTCATGGAATGCAAATGGAGAATCTAGTGCCCATTGCCCTGGTGAGTGCCTGGGCATTGATGGGAGTTTATTGAATGTTGGGAGCGGTGTAAGGCGTTGTGAACCTGAGATAGCTCCAGGCTCTTCAAGAGCTCACAAAGAAACTGAGGAGACGATCTTCATGATGAAAAGAGAAGTCTCACCATAGGGTGGCTATGTTGAGGAGGCAAAGTGGAGTGCTCCCGGGCTCCCTGATCAGGTGGGGCCATTTCCTGCCCCTGTGCCCTCTCTGAGCCCCAGCCCCTTTCCTAGTAAGAGAAGAATCATTTTCATTCCAAACAACATGATAGTCCAACAAAAGGAGCTCATGGGTGAAAGCCCCGGGGAAGCTGCAAATCTCTGGCCAAAATAAGGGTCGTCAGGTGCTTAGGGCCAGGAGGGAGATGGGGGATTGCGACAGGTGGTTGTGGGGTGTGGTGATGGGGTGAGGAAGGCTGATGTTGGCTTCACATGGAGCTTGCAGATGGGTAGGGCTCTGAGACAAGCAGAAAGAGGTGGTGGGAATTGGGGCTTGTGTGAACGGAAGTGAAGAAGCAGGGAGCCTCAAGTATGTCTGGCTGCAGCAGGTGGATGGAGGGGGAAGCTGAGGGCTGTAGGTTTGGAGAGGGCTGTGGGCTGATTACCAGCATCCTCCAATGTGCCAGGCACAATGCATGCTCACAGGCACACGGCATCACCCAATAGCCATAAACGGCAAATGTTATTAATCTCATTTGACAAATGAGGAAACTGAGGCTCAGAGGGACTAAGTAACTCATCTGAGGCCACACAGCCAGTCAGTGGCTGGCTATGGTCCAAACCCTTGCACATCCCCTCTTAGAGGTCATTTCCTCCCCAATGTGCTGCTGGGATGCACAAAGAGAGGGGTCTGAGAAGCTATTTGCCCCTCCTAATTCCCAGACTCTCAGCCAAACACTCCCTCCTGATCCATGAGAAATGGACAAGGTGATAACAATAATTAAAAGGCTGAGAAAAAGGAAGGCTTATTGGTGAAAGGTAAGAGGAAGCAGCATTATTTAGCTCAGTGAACCTGGGCAGGGGACGATGTGGCGGCTTCCTGTAGTCTAGGGACAGCAGTGTGGATGGGCCCCAACTCTGTCCTGCTCACTGCCCCAGGTTTCTGAGTCCTGGTCAGGCTGCATAAAAAAGTCATCTCCACCTGAAGATGTGGTTTGCTTGGAAAACTTCAGCCCAGGACAAAGTCCTCATCCTACCCACTCCTGCTGTGGTTGAGAGGTAAGCGTCATGCTGCCCATTCCTTTTGGCATCATTTGCATAGTCATTTGCATCAACCATGCATTATGAATCATTCTGAACTCTTTCGTATGTTTAAATTTAGCCAAATTATTATATTTTAGACGTTGTTTGTTCCTGACTCCTTTTACCCTTCCTAAGCCTTCTTTGCTATTTTTCTCACCCCGCTCCCCTCAACCACATCTGAGAGCCAGCCCCATCTATGTCTTGACCTAGTTCTTGATGGTGGGGTGGGATGGAAAAAGCCCAGGGCTCCAAGTCATCTGCTGGTTCTTGTCCCCGTTCTTCTGGCTGTGTGACCTGAGGCAACATGGTCAATTTCTCAGAGCCTCAACGTCCACTACTGAGGAAGAAAATGAAGACAAGAACCCCTGCTCTCATGGGCATACAAAGCGAATTTGAGAAGACTGCAAACCCATGCAAAGCACAAGGCGAGACCCGGGGCTGGGGTCAGCTCTCTAGATTCCAAAGTAGACAGCAGAGCTTGGCAAGCAGGTTTCTGTGGCTGGGTTGTACTTTCCTGGGTGGTGGCCTCAGCCCCACATTTCCAACCCAGACAAGGGGCTGGCTTAAAGTCAGGGGGAGCAGGCAGCTGCCTACCTGAAATAATTGCAGGAGTCCTAGAAGGAGTAGCTCCCTCATCAGTCCCCTGAAGCCTGAAATTCCACCATTAGAGCTTCACTCCTCTGGAAGCTTCTAGTTGCTACTACAGGACTGATTGCCTTAGGAGTGGGATGTGCCACAGGTAGAAAAGCAAGGGCTTGAATGCAGACAGACCTGGATCCAGATCCCAGCTCTGCCACTCAGGGCCAGGAGTAGGTTGAGCCCGGCGAGGTGCCTCCCTCCCAGGGAGGACCTTGCACTCGACTGACCCCAAGAAGAAGCACCTCCTTAAATTTTCTGCCCAAGGTGCTTTGCTTACCTCTCCCCAGTCCTGGCCCTGCCAGTGTTACTCACTAGCTGTGAGACCTTGGGTGATTATTTACCCCCGCTCTGAGCCCAGATTCCTCATGTATAAAAAGGGGATAATAATACCTACCTTGGAAGGCTGTTATGATAATTAAATGAGATGATGCTTATAAGGGACCTACTTCAGAGCCCAGAGGGTAGCCAGTGAGTGACAAATGGCAGCTGCTGTCATCATGTGCCCCCATGGGTGAGCCTGTCCACTCCTTTTCCGGGGGTGACTTCTGGGAGGCAGAAGGGGACCAAGTGGGCGAACCAGGGCATGGCCAAGGGGGCTTGGGGTCAAGGCTGTTCAGTTTCACCCAGGGCCCACCTCTGTGTAAAGCACAGGGCAGCCTTAGCTCTTCTGAAGACCCCTGCACCCTGTGAATCACGTTACACAAACTCATGCTATGATAATAGCCTCAGCCTGTCTCTCTGAAGCTTTCTTCCCATCCCTTGTAAACAATTTATTTCTGATGGTTGAGAAACAACAAGAAATTAATATACCTGCCACTCAAGTGGGGAAAATGACTTGCAGTGATTCCAATTTACTGGAAATTACAAGATACTGCTCTCAATGAGCTGATGCTGTAATTTTTTGTTTTTTCCTCATCTAAATCCATGTCCCCTGGTCAGAAGAGATGTTTATTGGGTTTGTGTTTTGTATTAGAAACTGTTACCTGATGTAATTGAGTTGTGAATCTTTTTTAAATAAAGAATTAGCAGCAAATCAAAGAGGCTGCCTGCCGGATCCTGAAATGAGAGCACAGCTGGTGTGTAGCACATCCACAGTGTCCACACACACGGGGGGATCTTGCGGGAGAGAGTGGACTGCCGCTCAGAAAAACAGAAGCACCCCATTCCTTTCCGGCACACCCTCTGGAGGAGCGGCAGAGTGGCATCCTGCTCTGGGCTCTGCCTTTAACTCCCCGTGGGATCCTGGGCAAGGCCCTTTTCTCCCGTTTCTCAGTTTCCTCATTTGTGAAATCAGGATGGTGAGGTCTGTCCTACCCACCCTGCAGGGTTATTGTGATGACACATGACGCGTGTGAGTGTGGACGGAGCTTGGTCAGCGGGAGATTTCTGATCAGGTATATAGTTGTATTATCCAGATAGGAGTCAGGGTTGAAGGGCCCAATTGTGGAGGCAGGTGCTTCTCAGTGGGGCCGGCCCAGGTTCCACTCCTGTTGCATCAGTGAGCAAGGTTCATGGTCTGTTTCTCCCTTAGCACCTTCCTGGCCAGTGTAGCCCTAAGTGCCTTGAAACACCTGAGCTTGCAGGGACCTCAGTGACCTCGCTCTATAGCCCCTCGCTCTGCAGATGGAGCCTGTGGAGAGGAGGGAAGACAACTTTCTAAGTCACATGGAGCATCGGTGGTGGAGGTTGAACTCAAACTTAATTCTGCCTGCAGCCCATCCATCTTTTCCTAATTCCTCCATCTCTGACATTCCCTGGTCTGTGCCCTTTATAGCGATGGCTATCCATACAATTACTTTGGCAATTAATCATGCCTGTGATATCTCTCCTACTATTGTCTAGAACCTGACTGGCATTGTGGACTGTTATTAAACTTTTCTGTCCTGTGGTCTTTCCAGAGACTGTGAGGCTCCAGAGTCTCAGGCCTTTCTACCAGTCTAGTCAGTGCCTGGAACACAGTAGGGCTCCATGGCTCAGTGCCTGGCACACAGTAGGAGTGTTATGGCTCAGTGCCTGACACGTGGTAGGACTCCATGGGACAGTGCCCTTCACACAGTTGGGGCTGTATGGCTCACTGCCCTGCACACAGTAGGGGCTCCATGGCTCAGTGCCCTGCACACAGTTGGAGCGGTATGGCTCAGTGCCCTGCACACAGCAAGGTTTCATGGCTCAGTGCCCTGCACACAGTAGGGGCTTTATGGCTCAGTGTCCTGCACATAGTAGGGGCTCCATGGCTCAGTGCCCTGCACACAGTAGGGGCTTTATGGCTCAATGCCCTGCACACAGCAGGGCTCCATGGCTCAGTGCCCTGCACACAGTAGGGGCTCCATGGCTCAGTGCCCTGCACACAGTAGGGGCTCCATGGCTCAGTGCCCTGCACACAGTAGGGGCTCCATGGCTCAGTGCCCTGCACGTAGTAGGGGCTCCATGGCTCAGTGCCCTGCACGTAGTAGGGGCTCCATGGCTCAGTGCCCTGCACACAGTAGGGGCTTTATGACTCAGTGCCCTGCACATAGTAGGGGCTCCATGTCTCAGTGCCCTGCACAAAGTAGGGCTTTATGGCTCAATGCCCTGCACACAGCAGGGCTCCATGGCTCAGTGCCCTGCACACAGTAGGGGCTTTATGGCTCAGTGCCCTGCACATAGTAGGGGCTCCATGGCTCAGTGCCCTGCACACAGTAGGGGCTTTATGGCTCAATGCCCTGCACACAGCAGGGCTCCATGGCTCAGTGCCCTGCACACTAAGGGCTTTATGGCTCAGTGCCCTGCACACAGTAGGGGCTCCATAGCTCAGTGCCCTGCACATAGTAGGGGCTCTATGGCTCAGTGCCTTGCACACAGTTGGGGCTCCATGGCTCAGTGCCCTGCACACAGTAGGGCTTCATGGCTATTTGTGGAGTTGAATGATGGCGTTGTCCGGCTGCACACGCTGGTGCCCCAGGTGAGGAAATGAGTGTCATTGACAGAGACCATCAGGAACAGCTGTGGCCCAAGGTCAGTTGGCTCCAGCTGGGACCTGGGGCCTCTTGTCCATTATGTCTGAAGAGCAGGTGAGCTGTGGGACGACTGCCTTCGGGAGCTATGGGCCATGCTTGACAAATGGTGTTATATACGATCTGTGTGTGTATGGTAGTGGGTGGGGAGGAGATGGGGGCAGGACTGCGGGCTGAGAAGGATGCTGGTCCTAGACAGGTAGGAAGGCAGGCAGGCTGGAGGGGGAGAGAGGGAAGAAGGAGGAAAGAAGTCAGGGAGAGAGAGGGGGCGGGCTGGGCTGAGTGCTGGCGCCTCTGCCTGTGGCAGGCCACCCGTGGGCTCTCACTGAGTCCCCCAACAGCCCTCTCAGAGCTGGGCTGTGCCATCATCTGTCTCCATTTTATGACAACACGAGGATGCTGTCCCCCTCCCCAGCACAAACCCCATAATCCACGTTCTTCTCATGGCACTGCAGTGGCCTCCCACTCTCCCATCCGCTCCAGCCACCCACCCTCTAGACACCATGGTTACTCAGCACCACGGCCCAGAGGCCTCCTGATCAGGGCCCCTCTCGCTGCTGCCCTGGCCTTGCCTGTTCTCAGCCAAGCTCGTGGGAGAGTGGCTGCGCTCCTTTGTCCTCGCT
The DNA here is from genome assembly GCF_000001405.40 of Homo sapiens. Classification (NCBI taxonomy): domain Eukaryota; kingdom Metazoa; phylum Chordata; class Mammalia; order Primates; family Hominidae; genus Homo; species Homo sapiens. The sequence goes on from NC_000002.12 coordinate 29,246,619, forward strand.
TCCTCAGTCCATGCCAGAGCGTGGATGTAGTCCCAGCGTTGCACCCGACCCCACATTCACTCAGTCCTCAACTTACGCTGATCCCACCTCCTGAGCACCTCTGGGCCTGTCCCCTGCACCTGACCCTCCCCTGCCATCTTTCCCCTGTCCTGGCTCAGTCCTTTTGACCATGGCCTGAGTGACAGTGACTCCCTTCCAACTGCTCTCCCCACCTCCAGGCCGTTTCTCTCACTTCCACCCTCATGCTTTCACCAGGGGGAGCGAGAGGCCTTTTGGGGGGTAACACTGCAGCCCCAGGACCTGGCCCTGCTGCCTCCAGCCTCGGCTCCCCGAGGCCAGCCTTGCCCGACTTCTCATCGGCAGTACCGACTTCTTGTGCTCACCGCAGGCTCTGGCCACCCGCTTTTTTGTAGACAATGCTTAGGGCCTTCGAACTTAACCCAGGTGCCCCTCTCCTGGCAGAAGCCATTCACAAGCTCAGCTGAGTGCAGCGCCTTTCCCCCGGCCTCCGCGGCAGCGCCTTTTACCCCGGCCTCCGCGGCAGCGCCTTTCCCCCGGCCTCCGCGGCAGCGCCTTGTGGAAACCTCCACTGTAGTTCTCCCTACACCCCACGGAGATGCCTGTGCACACACCACCACCACCACTGGCAGCAGGGCCTCTGGGGCAGGGCTGGATCTTCATCACCTTTGCACACTTGGTGTCAGGCACAGCATCCTAATTGGTGCTTACTATGGGTCACTGAGATCTGCAGAGCAGGGGGAGAATGAAGCCCAGGAACCTGGACACACAGACTGCATCAGCTCTCAGAGGAAGGGGTAAGTCCAGGGCAGGGAAGGCAGGACATGGTGGGTGGAGGAGATGGGGGTTCCAGGGTTGCACCCAAGCCCCCATGCCAGCCTGCTGTCTTCTCCTGCCTGCCCCGCACCCCCTTCCTCTCCCTCTTTCTGGGCCTCTTCCTTTGTGGAGGTGGGCAAAGCTGTAGAGGGTGGGAGGTGGGCCCAGGATAAGTTACCAGCTAAGAGTGGGGGTGTTTCCAACTGTGTACATCCTGGAGGAGGCCCCAGGCAATGGTGGCCCCCCCTTGGCATGAAGTTGGGGCTTGGTAGCATTCGCTCCCTTCCCTTCACCTCCCCAGCAGTGGGCAGAGAAGTCAGTGGAGCCGTCCCAGTGCCAGGCCTCGGTGGCAGCCATGCCTCCAGGATGGGTGGGTTCGTTAGGGCTCGGCTCCCACCTTTCTGTTTCCAAGCACCTTTTTCTCACGTCCTCTGGTGCATCTTGTGTTTTTTTCAACAGATGAACTGCACTTATTAAATAGTAATAATTACTATGGAGAAAAAGTCTTTCAGAGAAAGGTTGCTGACTTCTCAGTCATATTCTGACTTGGGGACATTTTGAAGTGGTCTAAAAATCAAATCATTAACTGTCTGCTTCTTAGATTACTAAGTTATGTGACCAATAGACTCAGGTCATCTAAGACCTGAGTCTCTTCCAAGGCCAAGGAGGAGGTGAGGGTCAGGAATATCTGTTAGAGCCTTTATTTGGTTAAAATATAAGTATTCAAAAACAACAGTGACTGGCCGGGTGTGGTGGCTCACATCTATAATCCCAGCACTTTGGGAGGTCAAGGCAGGAGGATCACTTGAGGCCAGGAGTTAGAGACCAGCCTGGCCAACATGGTGAAACCCCGTCTCTACTAAAAATACAAAAATTAGCTCATGCCTGTAATTGCAGCTACTCGAGAGGCTGAGGCAGGGGAATTGCTTGAACCTGGGAGGCGGAAGTTGCAGTGAGCTGAGGTGGCACCACTGCACCCCAGCCTGGGCAACAGAGCGCGACTCTGTCTCAAAAACAGCAGTGACAAAAACCCCAACTGAGCGGCTTTTGGTTTTGGTTCTTCCATTTTGATATGGTCCTATCTTAGGCCAGACCAAAATGCCTCCTTTACTAATTTGGACACTTCGAAATGTCCTGCTTCAACAGAGGCAAAATCGCCAGACAGTGCTGGGGCCCGGAGCTGGCCTCAGTCTCAATATTTCAAAGAGATGAGTGGAGACAGCTTTCTGATTTTGGCTGGGATTCTATGAATGCACTGTGGAAATAATGTGGCACTTCATGCAGATCAGAAACCTGACTCGACTTAGATATGGCTGTGATTAATAATAAATGGGAAAATGAATTAATTATTATTTAATAAGTGTAGTTCATCTGGCAGTCCAAATTTTTCAGAATACAGGGCTCATCTGAGGAAGTCAGAGAAAAGTCTTTGGAGACAGGAAAAGTCAGAAACTACCGCGTATGGGGTCGGCGTGTTCTTGGAAACACTGCCTGCCTGCTGCCTGCTGCTGCATAGCAGCATTGCTTCAGCTGATTTCTCCACCCATGGGCCAGGGAGCACCCACCACGTGTAAGCATTGTGCCAGGCACTATATGTCACCTTTACAGCCCCTGCCACTTACAGATGGGAAAACAGAGTCTCAAGAGATTAGCTGACCTGTGCAAGTTTGGAAGTGAGCTTGATTCACACTGTCTCGGGGGAACACAGCCCAAGAGAATCCCCATTCAAGGGATCTCCTGAGAGTTTGTCCCCCTCTGTGGGACAGGGAGCAGGGGAATTCTGGCCAAGCTGGCATTGGAGTTGCCCTGGGCAGGGGTAGGACAATGGGCTCCGCTGGGGGCTTACTGTTGGGTTTCCTGTGCGCCTCCCAGCGCCTCTGCTTTCTTCTTCATATTGCTTTTTGTATACGGGGTGTGTTGCCCAATATCCCTTCAGGAGGCTGGGCCCCTCTCATAGCCTCTCATTTCCAGAGGCTTCCAGGAGGTGGGTGGTGGGTGATTCCTATGCCCTCCTTCCTTTCCTGTCCCTTCTGCCCTCTGCATGCCTCCCAGAGTCCAGGCATGGGCTTTAGTAGAAACAACACAGACTTTGAGCCAGAGCACCCTGGGTTTGAATCCCAGCTCCATCACTGATTGTGCAGCCTTACATGTGTTGCTAAGCTCCTCCGACTCCAGAGTTCTCCCTTGGAAACATGGGAACACCAATAATAATGCTACCCACCCTATGCTCATACAGGAGCAACACCTGTGGGTCCTTAGCAAGCATTCCTCTCCTCCTCTCCAGGAGTCCTTTCCTCCCCGCCCTGGGCCCCACGGAGGCTTGGCTCAGCAGGAAGGGGAGGTCTGGCTTGCTTGGTGTAGCAGGGCCAGGGGTGGTCCGGTGTCTTCCGGGATATTTACTGGGGGTGTGTGGGCACTGTAGCAGCTAATCTGATTGTAGCCAAATCTCGTTATAGCATTTCTGCCCGGAGTGCCATTTAAAAAGCACTTAGGGCTGTCCCCGTAACACATTTACCCTGAGGCCCCAGGGATGGGGCTGCCACAAGAAATGTTAACCTGGAGAGAGAAAACAGGGCAACTTGAGAAGTCCCTCTCCTTCCCAGGAGGCCCAGGATGTTGTGGATCCCGGAGGCTGCGGGGAGAGGAGGCGAGCTCATTTCCTATTGTTTCAGCCCTGGGGGACACTGTTCCCACAAGGCATAGTGGTTTTGCTTTCCTTTTAACCTGCCCTGCCATGCTCCATGGTGGAGCCACGGGAGGCCCTGCCCCAGAACTCTGGAGGTGGAGGCTGCTTCTGGATGTGTAACTGTGGGGAGGCTCCTGACTCTCTGAGCCTCAGTGTCCTCATTTGTAAAACGAGGATGGCAGCACTGGCCTTGCCTAGTCATAGAGCTCGTTTGGGGGCCACCCAGGTTTATTTAAGTCCAAGACTTGATCGAGCTCAGAGGTTCTAAAAGGCTGCATTGACACCACCCGAGAACTTGTTAGAAATGTCAGTTCTCAGCCCCCACTCCAGACCTGCAGAACCAGATGCTGCAGGAGGGGGTCTTGCAATCAGGGTCTCCACCAGCCCTCCAGTCTTACCATTAGCTTCATTCAATGCCATGGCCTCAAAGTGGCCAAGTGGAGCTGGATCTCGTTCCAGCCTGGCTCTGCTCTAAGGGAATACTGGGGGCTGGGGTAGGGTTGGGGCTGGGAGGAGCGTTCCAGAACAGTTTGCTCTCTTACCAACAGTGAAGGCCCAGGAAAGGAGGCGCAAGGATAAGAGCATCAGCTTTCAGGTGCATTGTGCTTCTGTTTCCCAAACATTTTACATGCATGCCTCATTTGAAGAGCATTAAGCAATATTCAATGAACAGGCCACCATAATTATCCTTATTAGCAATAATTCTGAAGCTAGCTCATGCATGCATATCACCTCCACGAACAGCCTGTGAGTTTCTTGAGGACAAAGGACACATCTTCTTTTGTTGCCATATTTCACTCTCCCAAATCTCCCCATCTCCAACCTTTATACCCCCTATGGGCCTGAGTCTGTTGCCTTTGAACCTTGACATGCCTGGGCACCCCAGGAACATGCACCCATAGGCAAGACTCCAGGCTTCTTCGGAAGGGGTGGTCTGCCCCTCCCCTCCCCCTCTTCCATACGCACCTGTAGGTGTCGGTGGCTGGCACCTTCCAGATCTGGATGCCTTTCAGGGGGCCCTCGCTCCCCACCTCCACGCTCAGGTTGGAGTTCTGGTAGGCGTTGTTGCACTGTGCCTGGGTGGGGCCATGGGGCCCGCTGGCCCCACATGTGGTGAACAGCCAATGAACTGTGGCACAAGAGGAGAGGCAGTCACTCATGTGGCCAGGCCCTCCCTCCTCCAGGGGCCTCCCTGGGTGGCCTCTGAGATATCTGCTCCATGGCCCCAAACCCTCCATCCAAGATGGCACCAAGGTCAGGGCAAGAAACACCAATCAGCCATCGAACTGGAAACTTCCACAGAAAGCCTACTATGTGCCAGACCCTGAGTCAGAGACAAAGATGGGGCAGACTTAAGATGGACCCTGGCCTTAAGCAGCTTACAGGCTACTATGAGAGACCCAAAGGGAGGCCAGGACAGCAAGAATAGCAAGCCACAGGAGGGCCCAGCCAACACTGCGCTAGGGGAGTTCCAGGAAGGGGAGAAGGCCCCTGCAGGTGGGACAGGCGTAGGCAGTAGCTGGGTCCTCTCCCAGTCTCTCACCGAGCCTAGCACGGTGCTGGGCAAACAACAGGTGCTCAATCTGTGCTATAGTTGACTGCAACTAACCTGCTCCCAAAGGCTCAGCATTGCCTATAGGAGCCTCTTAGCTTGGAGACAATTGAAAAAGAGAATTGAAAGCTCGGTGATGCTACATTGGCTCAGGGACCCAGGCTGGTGGTGGGAGCAGGAAGCCCTGCACTCCCTGGCCATGGCTTGGCCTGCCTGTCAGACGCTCCCTAACAGACCTGCAGCAAGGCAGGGCTCAGGCTCCTTATTAAAACCAGCTTGCATTTGGAAATGCAACGAAGACAGCTTTCAGGCTCTCCAAGCAACAGAGTATAAAAAATGGAAAAACAGGTCAACTTTGTCTTTGGTGCATGCTCCTCCTTTTCCCAGCTCCCCCTCACCCATTCCTGGTGTTCTGTGTCCCACCCAACGTCCCTAGGTGGCTTTCTGGGGGCAACACAGGAACACTCAGCACAAACTGCACCCCCCCACCCCCCGCGGGCCATTTCCTTTCAAACTTTCTATCTTTGAGCCAGACCAAACCTTGGGGAGTTGTCAGATCTCATGTTGGCCAAAATTCTAACATTTTTACAACCTATAAAAACTTTTAAAAAGGTGTTGTTGATAAACTACTTTTACTTAAAATACAAAAATCTCATAAGATTGCAGAAATTCCCTTAAAAGAGAGATTAAGTTCTAGTCTAAGGAAAATGATGGAAACATTAATTTGGGCATGCATAATTTTGCTAAGACATTAAAGTGAAAACATTTTGAAGACTGCACTAATTTAATTACGTAAATGTGAAAGGTTAACTTGGGTTGCCGATTATAAGCAATAGATTGAGACTGCCATGGGCAGGGTTGCTAATCTGAAAACTGGGCCAGTTGTCGTGGGTTTTTGTCATGCTGCCCTGGCCCAGAGGCTGGGAGGTGGAAGTTCTGGGTGGGGTTCTAATGCATATGCTACTCAGCACGGAGTCCTCAACACTTTTCTGGGCTTCATTTATTTATTTATTTATTTATTTTTTGCAAAGGAAGATGTTTATTTCTATTTGGTTTCAGGATGGTCATTTCAGGGGCTAGAAGGTAATGGAGCCATTCACTTTGGGTGTGAATGGCTGATTGTTAGTTTCCTGATTTTTTATTTATTTTTTTTTAGACACAGGGTCTCACTCTTGCTCAGGCTGAGGGTAGTGGTACAATCATGGCTTCCTGCAGCCTCGAATTTCTGGGCTGAAACAATCTTCCTGCCTTAGCCTCCTGAGTAGCTGGGACTACAGACCTACCCCACCAAGCCCAGCTAATTTTTAAAACTTTTTGTTGAGATGGGGGTCTCACTCTCTCACCCAGGCTGGAGTGCAGAGACACAATCATAGCTCACTGCAGTCTTGAAGTCCTGAGCTCAAGCGATCCTCCTGCCTCAGCCTCCCAAAATACTGGGATTATGGGCATGAATTACCATGCCCATCCTCTATTTTTATTATAAAGAGGGCAAACCTGCTAATTCAGACTCTTTATAGAATGCATTTTTGGCAGAGCTAGTTTGACCAGCTGCCCTTTTACTCACTCCTGTGCCCAAAATATATGTGTGGGCTGTGCTACGTCACCACACGAGGGGTGATGTGGAAAGAACACAGGCTTTGAAATCAGCATGAACACCAGGGTTTGGGGGCAGCTTCATCATTTATTGATTAGGGGATCTTGATCTAGTTCCTTTGTCTGTAAAAGAGGCTGGATTGACATATTAAAAGAAGCAAAGGGGTAGGAAATTTCGCTGCTAAGTCCCAAACTCTAAACATGTGAGTGTGTCCTTGACTCCTGCCTGTACCCAAGGCTGGTGCTGTCCTGGACAGCAGGACATGTGGCCAGGGGAGTTGCTGTGAATATGGATCCCGTGCCAACAGCACCTGGGAATTTAAAGTCAGTGGGTTGGGGAGGAGGGATGGGGGCAGGGAGAAAAATAAAACCCCAGAAAAGAAGTTGTGAAATCCACTCCTCTCCTTATCTATAGTTCCTTGAAACCTGTTCTGCAGACCCAGGCTTTCCTTACAGCAAGCAGCCTGGGTGTGGGGGTGGCCTTATCAATCACAGGGCAGAAGCGTGGCAGTTTATTTAGTTAATTCAACCCTGAAAATGAAAGAATACATATATCTATATTAGATAGATAGATAGATAGATAGATAGATAGATAGATAGATAGATAGATAGGTAGATAGCTGTGGTTTGGCTGTGTCCCCACCGAAATCTCATCTTGAATTGTAGTTCCCATAATTCCCATGTGTCATGGGAGGGACCAGATGGAGATAATTGAATCATGGGGTAAGTTTTCCCCATCCTGTTCTCATGATAGTGAGTTAGTTCTCACAAGATCCGATGGCTTTGTAAGGGGCTTCCCCCTTCACTGGGCACTCATTCTTCTCCTTCCTGCCATCATGTGAAGAACATGTTTGCTTCCCCTTCTGCCATAAGTGTAAGTTTCCTGAGGCCTCTCCAGCCATGCTGAACTGTGAGTCAGTTAAACCTCTTTCCTTTATAAATTAGCCAGTCTCAGGCATGTCTTTATTAGCAGCATGAGAATGGACTAATACATATATGAATACATATTCTCTCTCTCTCTCTATATATATATATGAATACATATATGTGTGTGTGTGTATTCTTCTCAATAGAGTGCTAGGGAAGACATCTAAAGGTATGGGCTTGGCACACTACCTGAGCATCTCACCTTCAGTGGGAACCACTTCAGCCTAGGTTAGTTTATTCTGAGGGTTCTGAAATATTCCCAGAGATGCTGGGCTTCTACTTCTGGCAAGGTGAGACATCTGGTGAGGGAGGAAGAAGGGCTTAGGCTTTGGATTCAGATAGGCTGTGTTCTCATTCTGGATGTCTCTGCTGGCCAGCTGTGAGACATAAGGTAGATTGTACAACCTCTCTAAGCCTCAGTTTTTAAAATGTGAACAATTGGAGACTGTAAGACATACCACCTAGACTTTCTGTGAGAATTAGACGATGACCTAGGCAAAGTGCTTAGTACAACATTCAGCATTAGAGATGCACAATGACTACAGTTTAAAACGTGTGTAACTTTGCATTCAAGTTTTCACTGTGGGAAGCAGATATCCAATCTCAAAATTTATGTCCTCCATTTCATAAAGGAGGGACTCCAGGGTCATTTCTCAATAAAAGGGACCTGTACTTTCCCAATTCAGTGGACATACATTAGTCTCCAGTGGTTTCCATACACAAAATTTTGTTTTGATTTTCAGTGATTTCAGACGGATGGGCCTAGAGAGGGAACGCTTTCTAAAGTGGATTCTGTGGGAAGAGAGGATTTGCCATCCTGTGTCAGACCCATGATTTATCTTGCCAGAATTCTGTTGCTCCCAGCAGCCTTCAAGGCATGGTGGTCCTCGCTGCCTTGGATGGCTCTGACCCTCATAAATCTGCCCAGAGTTGCTTGGAATCAATTTATGATTCCCACCAGCACTGCCTCTGGGGGTGTGGAGTTTCTGAGTGTATTGCTCATTGTGCGAGGGCTGTCCTGCTTCTCATGTGTGGGCTGCTCCAGCTTCATCTGCTGGTTCCCTTTGTTCATACTGTCTGCAATCCTGTAGTCATCAGAGAATGTCACAGCACAGTGGGACCTTGGCAATCTCTGAATTCAGTGTTTTCCAAACCACCTGAGGACCTTTCACATACAGATTCTAGGGACCTGGAGATTCAAATTTAGTAGATCCTGGGTGGGGATGAGAAGGCAATACTTGAAACATTTAAAAAGCATTCTCAAGAGAATCTAATACTCGATGAGACTTGTACATTAGTCTTCTGCACCTCATTGTCCAGGTGGAGAAACAGCATTTTAGGGAGAAGTGACTTTTCTGAGCCTATCAGTATTGGAGAAGGAACCAAAATTGAGGGTTCCTCCTTCTCGGTCCAAGGGTCCTTTGGGGGTGATTAAACCGTTCCCAGATTTCTGCCTTGAAGACTTCCAAGCCTTGTCAGATTGTCCCTACATAAGTCCCGGACCCACCTTGTCTTTTTCAGAACCTTACTTAATACCAGAGTCTGATTTTCATGATTGACCCACCAGAGCTGTGGGTACCTGTGACTTTGCATAAGGGGACTCTTGTTATTCTGTTTTATCTATAGTGTCTCTCTGAAGCTGCTCCATACACTATTGACCTCTCTTAGCTGTGCACTGGACTGAGGCTTGCTGGGGACAGACTCTAATTATTTCCACATCCTTGCCCAAGGGGTAGGCTCTTGCTTCAAGCAGGAAGAATCTGGCAGGTACTTCAGGTAGGGTAGACATGAGATCAGCTCTACGCTAAGACAGGTTGAGTCAGAACCATGAGAAGACAGGCAGATGCTAGGTTGATTTTCAAAAGTGTTGCTGAAGTGGAAGGCAATGGGCACCACTTTGTGGATCAAAGTGAGCAGGTCTAAAACCAGAGAGGCAAGAGAGTTAGCAAGAGTGGTTCCAGGGGACAGGAGGAGTCAAGGTGAGCCTTGATCCCCAGGTAGAAGCTGTGTGCTTCCTGACTTGTTTTGTCCTTCTTCCTGGGTAAGGAGTTGGGGTGGGAGGCTGCACCTCAGGCACCTGAGAGGTAATCTCCACTCACAAAAGGGGTGAAAACCTCTCAGTGTTTACTGTGCACCTAATATAGGCCAGTCACTGCGCTTTCACACATGCAGGAAATGCCGTTATGCTTGCTGCAACTTTGTAGTGCTGCGAGTGGAGTTACAGTGTTCCCTCCAAAAATCAGGACATTCAAGTTCAGAGGAGTTGAGTGGCTGGTCTGCAGCATACGAAGTAGATAACTGGTCTAGCCAGGAACTAAATGTAGATCTTCTGAGTCCAAGTTCAAGGCTTGAAAAGGGGCTCAGCTCCCCAGGAAATCTCTAGGGAACACTTTTGAGTGTTTTTTTTTTTTCTTTTGAAATCCCTGAGCCTGGGGCTCAGTTCTAGCCAGGACAGACCATATGAAGGTTGCTCAGGCCCAAAGAGTAGGCAGGCCACTATGAGGGGACAGGTGAGAGTATGGTCACTATACTGAGGTGAGTGGACCCTCCATCCCAGAAAGTCCTGCAGTGGCCCCCGCAGTCGCTTAGCCTAGTGGAGCATGGGCTGTGCAGGATCAAAGGTGTCAGCCAATGAGAGAAGGTGCTCAGGTTGAGGCTCTGGTCCCCAGAGAGGACATGGGAGCAAGGCAGTGTCATAAGGGAAACCTAGTAACTGGAGTGTTTATAAGGTCAGGAAGCAGAGAGAGACTGTGTCATAAGCAACAGGACAAAAATCCCAGTTTTTGGAGAGAAGATCAAGGTCACAGTGAGACTAGCAGTGAGGCTGGCTTGATGCTGAGCAGACAATCTAAAGGTCCCCATATCTCCCCTGCTGAGGGTCTGCCTTGGTCTCTGAAGCCCTATGGAGCTGTAGGATGATCAAATGGTCCCCAGGGAGGATCTGGGATGGGGGGCAGAGGAGGGACGTCACCTGCCTCTTTCCTCTTCTCTCAAACAAACAAACCTATTCTATTAATACTCATTTATGAAAGAAAAAAAAAAAGAACTGCCTTATCTCATTCTTACACATACCCCATACTGAAAACATAGTTTAATACTCATTCATATCTAAACTGTATAAAGAACCCACAAATATCAAAATACTGATTGGTTATAGACAGTTGAGTACAGAAAAGTCTATTAAGCACTGGGTTTCATTTTAAGCACATTGTAGCACCCTCCAAGAAGAAACAAATCAATTAGTAATAAACAGTACATCGCTAAAAAAAAAATAGGCTAGACAATGATTGTCCTGGTTTTATTACTGTTGCTAAACAATCTCATCTGCTGAATTCAATGCAAAGAAATAAAGCATAATACAAAGGAAAGTTCTCGATCGTCACTATTAATCACAACAGTAAGGATCTGCCTCAGTTTGGAGGCCTGTGTGTATTGTACCACGGAAGAGCGCTCAATGCTTCATGTGGATCATTTGTACAATTTTTATTCAGATCCATAGCATTGAATTTCATCCACATCCACTGACTGAACTAAATGCCATGGATGCTGTGGCATACAGAGCCATTTTGATGGGCACCCTAGGTCCCAGTAAATAAAAATCATGACCAAAATCCAGGCAAATATAATAATTCATCCATTTCTTTTTGAGACATAGTCTTGCTCTATCACCGAGGCTGGAGTACAGTAGCATGATCTTGGCTCACTGCAACCTCCATCTCCTGGGCTCAAGCGATCCTACCACCTCAGACTCCAGAGTAGCTGGGACCACAGGCACATGCCACCATGCTCAGCTAAATTTTAAATTTTCTGTAGAGATGAGGTCTCACTATATTACCCAGGCTGGTCTTGAACTCATGGGCTCAAGTGATCCATGGCCTCCCAAAGTGGTGTCATTACAGGCAAAAGCCATCACGCCTGGCCTCCATATTTTCTCGTTTTGAAGAAACTGGGCTATTTGACTGCAGCATTTCCCAGATTCTGAATTTTGCTGACTCCTTCTCCATGGGGCAGTTCAACATGTTCTCTGTCCTGCAAATTGCCAACTAGATCCTTTTGCAAGACTACAGGTCATGTTCTTTCATCAGGAGATACTTTGTGTCTGATTATTGCTCTCTTTTATCATGTTAGCACTTATCAAACAAAGCTCAATGCTTAGAACCATTTATTTATTGCAAGTTGCAAAATAATGTTATTCTACTTATTTACCTCTTTCCTCATACATTAGTTGGAATATATTTATAAAAAGATGTTCCCCCAATCTACTATTTGGGTTACTGAGTAATATGGTTCATGTAGAAAATGCAGAATAAATGCTGAATTATTTCTCCTTATGTATACATTTCAAGATACTGAATTGGTTCTCTATCATCCTCTGAAGCTGGCCAATTAACTGTTTGTACATTATTATGAATCCATGAATTTAAACATATTTTTCAGTTTTAATTATTCACAATTACTATTCTCTGAAAGCTCAAATGATCACGTCTTTGGTCAGTGGTAGCCTCCCAGGTCCTTTTGACATGACGCTAGTAGACTTTTAAAGCTTCTTTGCTATATGATATGACAAAATACTTCTTCTCCAGACCTGGAATCAACCGTTTCCTCAAAAGCCCTGATTTCTCTTAGTAGGAAAAGGTATTTTAAGTACATATTCTGGGTGCTATGGAAGCTTTTTGCTACTGGGTTGGTGATTGTCTATTTTTTTGAGTGAACAGAGCTAGGAAATATATATGTGCATGCATATATGTATATCAGTATAAACATACATCTATATGAAATACACATACATATGTATATCACAAGGTACATCATGAGTTCATATTGATATTTCCAACTCAAATTCAGGACGACAGGACTTTTTATTTAACCTCGTGTATATCATATCTGCATTTCTTTTTTCACACTGAGAACCATGTCTCTCAGAAACACATGTGATAGTTGAATTAGAATATATTGTAATTATTCATTTACTTTACCTCTCCTTACACACAGTATTAGAGTCACAATCTTTACTACTACCACCATAATTAATATAAAAATTGAGAGCATTCAACTTTTTTTTGTATATGTTCTTTCCATTCTCCTGTGATTTTGTGTACTGTACTACACATAGCTGCCCCGGGCAGATAGCCATTACATATGCTTCTCTTTCCTCTTTATCCCTTACTTCGTCATAGTTCTGTAAGTATTTATATTTATTGCTCACACCAGTCATTATGTTGCTATTTCTGTAGTCATTTTCGTTGTCCGAAGCTTGTTTTAAAGTAAATTCCTTAGAGAGGGGTCACTGGAGAAATATTCCTTGAATTATTTGAGTGTTGATAATATATTTTTCCCTAGAGTATCTTAAAGATGCTACTCATTTTCTTGTTATATAAAGTGTTGCTGTCAAAAACTGATAATTTTAAATTTCCTTCTCTAATAAGTCACTTGCTATTTTGCTTAGGTGTCCAAAGTAATTTTTTTCTTTCTATTTAAAGTCCAGCAATTTTACTAGAATACACATTGGTACCGCTCATTCTGGGTTAATATTCTTAGGTATACAGTGTGCTCTTTTAACAAGTAGCTTCAATAAGGATATTTTCCTGGAGTTATACTTTTAAGTATTTTGTTTTGTTCTAGTTATTCGGTTTTCTTCGTCAGGTCTTTCAATTATTTCTATGTTGGATCTTCATGTATATTCTAGTAAAGTTGCCGGACTTTAAAATAAAAAGAAAAAAATACTTTGGGCACCTAAGCAAAATAGCAAATGACTTATTAGAGAAGGAAATTTAGAATTATCAGAGTTTTTGACAGCAACACTTTATATAACAAGAAAATAGAGTCTTTGATGTGTGTCATCTTTTTCATTTTAAAAAATTTCCTCTTTTTAACTTCTATTTCTTATAAGGCATAAACTGTTGTGTTTGTTGGCTTTTTGTTCCTTCCCTTAATAGATTAGCCTTCATTTTTGAAAATAGTTTTTCTTTTATTGCAAATTCTTTGCTGAGTTCTAGCACCACATTTCTGTTTTTCTTACAATGACTTACGTTATTTTTCATGTCTTGTATTATTGTTTTTGTGTCTTTTAGCTCATTTTAAAACAGAAGGTTAGATTCTGACTCATCCAATAAGCACGTCTTTCTGGCATGATTTTGCTTTCTGTAGGCGTGTTATTCCGCCCTCTGTATCCTGTTTTTGTTTTCTTATTTTAATTTTGAATGATATTTGATCTTGATGCTCTTCTGTTATGTATTTTTATGTGAGATTAGTTTTCCTGGATTTTTAGGGTTCAGGAGCTTTTTTATTTCACAGAACTCCCTCTACTCCTTTTTTTAATACAGTGTTCAAAAATATGGCAGTTTGGCCAGGTGTGGTGACTCATGCCTGTAATCCCAGCACTTTGGGAGGCTGAGGCAGGTGGATCACCTGAGGTCAGGAGTTCAAGACCAGACTGGCCAACGTGGTAAAACCGTCTCTACTGAAAATACAAATATTAGCCAGGTATGGTGGTGGGTGCCTATGTCCCAGCTACTTGGGAGGCTGAGGCAGGTGAATCACCTGAAGCCAGGAGGCTGAGGTTGCAGCGAGCTCAGATCATGCCACTGCACTCCAGCTTGGGTGACAGAGGGAGACTCTGCCTCAAAAACAAAACAAAACAAAAAAAAAAACAACAACAAAAAAACGCAGTTTGCTTTCTGAGGTTTCTGACTGTTTCTTTCCTTCACTTTTATCTGGACATTCTCTTATTTATTCTCTATTATCCCTTTCCTACTCAATATTGATTTTATCCCCAGAACTTTCTTCTCCAAGTGGGCCCTTTCCTGCAATGACGTTTGCTGGCCAGGCTGCTCCAGCGCCTTCAGATCTGACTGTGGTACTCCTGGTCCCCTGCACTGGGCAAAGCCGCTCCCACTTTCAGAAGCTGCTCTCAGACTGGCTTTCTGTAATTTCTAGCAACTATCTCTTGGCTACTTAGGGGTTCTCCTGTTCTCAGGCCTGTTTCTTTCCTGTCTTATATCTTGTACAGATGCTGATACCATGCAGGTCTTGTGGTTGTTGGTGCTTTGACCTATCTCACTTGCATTTTGAAGTTTTAGGGGAATGCCTTATTTTCAAATTTTGCTGTCAATATTGTTCATGGGTTTTCAGTTTTGATATATGGGTGTTCTGTGCTTATGTAGGGATTTGGAAAGATTAAAAAAAAAAAACTATGCTGTTACCACCATCACTGCCCTCTTCCCAGAATCCTAGAAACATTTTTTAAATGTAGAAATCATTTGAGCTCATTTGCTATGGTGAGCCCCTGTATGCCATTTATCTGGTCAGAGCCCTCACCTGCATTTCTCTTCCTGGGCTGCAGGTTTGTTTTTTCAGATTTCACCTCAGGGACATCTCCAATGACCATGGTCTAGAACCTGCCGTTTCATTATGCTCTGCCTATTTTCGATACAGCTCACTAAGTATAATTTAACCTTTTCTTGATAGTGCTTCCCAGACTTAATGAGTTGTTTAGGGCTATTTGACTCTTCACTAAATGGCCTCAGGCATAAATATTTTATAGTGACTCTGTCTCTGCTGGCAGGTGTCTCTCGGTACTGCAGCATGTCCACCCGTGTTTAATCTTACTTTACCTCTAAGATCAGGTGAGGGCATGAGAGTGGCCCTACCCCTCTTCATGTATCAGGCTAAGGGGCAGTTAACTGCAGAAAATCTTTATGTCACAGTTTTGGAACGTATTTATATTTTGGCATTTATATTTGGTGGATGGTGGAAGGTATTGGAAGTCTAACTTCAGATAAAAGGATGGTATCATGATTCTGAATGAACAGGGTTGAGAATGTTGAGGCCTTCAATTTCAATGGACAATTTATGGTACATTTCTCCTCCAGTAAGCCTAGCTCCTTACAACCACGATAGGTCAGTAGATAGGGAAGGGAGAAGAACTGTGACTTTTGTCTCATAAGTCATGCAATCATGTAGAAAAGTTAAGCAATTGGCCAGTGATTGCAAAGTAAACCTGGGGCTAAGTGAGGAGGGGCACATCACCTTCCCTCTTTCTACAACACGAACTGTTTTCAGTTGATGAATTTTCCATGCTGTTCTTCCAGCTTGTTTCTCAGACCGAATTTATTTGCGTGTATGTGCATGCACAGGTACACACATGTGTGTGCTTATACACATACATGCACATATGCTTGCATGTGCACCTGTGAGCGCCTGCCCATGTGTGCCTGTGTATACACACCCACCCCGTTCATTCAGGCAAAGCTTTCTCTGTGGTTCTTTGTGTATGATGAGAAGTTAGGGGTGGTAACAACAACAATGATCACACCAGCCCTGTCTTTTACTAGAAATGCTCACACACATGATCTCATTTTTACTGTTACACTGTTGTTTCCTTGCTCCAGACACAGTTTCTCTAGACAGGCAGAGTGCCTGATAATGCTGAAGTATCCCATGGAACAAAGACCAGAGGCCCATCTCCCTCCCTGCGGAAGGCAGACACCCCTTCTTGGAGAGGGACTTCCGAGTGAGCTTGCCCCCATCAACAGGGCAGCAAGCTGGGGCTGTCTAGATAAAAGCTGCTTTCAGGGCTGAATTGCCCTAAGCAGCTCTGACACCCAGTGATCTGCAGGAGATTTTAATGGCTCCTGTGATGGCTGCTGTATTGTGTTCGCAGCCACCCCCTGCTCCCCAAGGGAAAGTCAGGAACACAAGGGAGAAGAGAAAGGTCACAGGAAAAACACTACCCTGAAAGCAGAGCTGTAAAAATTAAGTTAAGGGAGGCCTCAGGGCTAATTTGGTTATTTCTAACTTGGCTTCGGGCCAGAGTGGGGCCAATAAAGTGTTTGATATCACATGGGTGCTGTGGACTCAGCCATCTGCAGGTTACGCATAATGGATTTGGTTTTGAGGCTTAAGTGGGAAGTGGTTGGTGGTTTAAATACCAGCTCTGCCACACTCAAGCCCAAAGGGTCATGGACTTCTGCCTTGTCCATTCTTGTCTGCGGATAGGAGAGATTTAATCTAGTGCATCACCATAGGGGTTATGTGATTAGGACTTGCGGCCTCCTGTTGTAAGGTTCACTAGCATCTAAGAGAGAGGCAAACGTGTGGGAAGCCCCAGCCCCTCACTCTATTCTAAGTCATTCCTGCTCATTGTTTGGTTCTAACTCATGATGACTGAAATCTCTACAAGGCCCTTGGAATTGTAACACTTCCGACAGATGAGCAGACGGAGGTGCAGGCAGCCCAACTGGCTTGGGGATTTGGAGCTAGAAAGGTGTCCCGACTTCTGGGTCTAGGTCCCAGATCCTCTAAAATAAATTGGAGGACTGAGACGCATATGAGAAGATATGAGATCCAAATTTCAGGGGCAGAAAAGAAAGCAGTGGGGAAGCATTAGGACCAAATACTAGACCAAGAAGAGAAGGCAAAGTGTGTAAGACTAGAGGACTAGAGAAAAGAAGGGAAGGGATGCTTCCCCTCCTATTTTTGTCTGCAATGCAGTCATGGTGGCTGGAGTTGCAGCAGCCATTTTGTAACCATGAGGCAACAAGCATGAAGAAAAGGCCAAGAGGATCTCAGAGATGTGAGTCTTGACATTATCAGGCACTGGATAATGACAGTAGTCACTTCTAGGGCCACTGAATTAACATCAGCAGTCATCTATAAAATAGTTTTTGTTGTAGGACTGGACTAATCCTTGGGCTCCCAGCCATTGGCTGGATCCTACTTCAACCTCAATGGAGCCTCCTAGAATCAAGATCTCCCAGCTACTTGCAATGAAACACCACTGAACAGAGAATCCTGCTGCTGTCTCTCAAACAGCAATGCCAGCCTGGATTGGAACCAACTTTTTCGTGCTTCTTCAGAGTTGACTGCACGTGGCCTTCTGCCTGACTTCTTCGATGAAGAGCCAGGCACCCTGGTCACTCCCCCGGCCCAGTCTGGTCAGCCAAGGCATGCTCCCCTACTCCACCCACCCTCTGCTGTGTCTCAGTGCACTTCACCGTCAAGGCCTTCAGAGCTTTGGGTGTTGCAAGGATGTTGTGGAAGGCCTTGAAGATTTCCCTAGGCCACACCAGCCTAGAGTAAGAAGTAGCATCTTAATATTAGTAGCCAGTAGCATTTTCCTGATTCTGCTCCCACGTCCTTGAAGGAACCTGAAGTTTTTTTCCCTCGATACTTCATTGTTAGGGCCCACATTCACACACATGTGTGCTTGGCCACCACCACCCCTGTCCCCTTGACCTGCTTTACTATTTTCACGGCATATCACTTTGAAATGATGCTGTCTATACACTAGTTTGCTTTCTGCACTAGCACATATACTCCATAAGAGTAGGGCTTGTCTGTTTTGTTCACTGCTTTGTGTCCAGGGCCTAAAACAGCACTAGTCACAGAGAGGGTGGTTAATAAATCTTTGTTATGTGAAAAACAAAACCAAAGCAAAATGAAATAGAAACAACAGAGTAGCCCAAATGCCATCTCCAAACCCACCTGAGTGGTCAGAAGGAGGTGGTCATGCATGCCAGGGGTACAGTGAGTGGGTGCTGGGACACTTTTGGCCCTTTGGGGCTCCTGTTTTAGTGTTAGAATGTTTAAGATGGACAAACCAGAGTGGTTTTGTTAGTGTAAGTGGACGTTTGCTGAAAGCCATTTTGTTTTGTCTCTTACGCATGATTGGAAGGGGTTGGGCTTCTGAGGAGCTGGCGCACACTCTCACATACTCACTCGAACACACACAATTGCGCACACCAGCCCACACTCATACATGCATGCATACACATATCCAAAATGCAGGGTGCCCTGTTTTTTTTTTGTTGTTGTTGTTTCTTTTTTGAGACAGAGTCTTGCCCTGTCACCCAGGCTGGAGTACAGTGGTGAGATCTTAGCTCACTGCAACCTCTGCTTCCTGGGTTCAAGTGATTCTCGTGCCTTGGCCTCTCAAGTAGCTGAGATTACAGGCACATACCACCACACCGGCTAATTTTTGTATTTCTGTAGAGACAGGGTTTCACCATGTTGGCCAGGCTGGTCTTGAACTCCGGACCTCAAGTGATCTGCCCACCTTGGCTTCCCAAAGTGCTGGGATTACAGGCATGAGCCACTGTGCCTGGCCGAGCCCTGTGTTTTTAAGAAAACACGTGAGTCCTACTCCTTAGCAGCGTGGCCACTCCCCTAATCCCATGTCTGACGAAATGGATTGGCTGGTAGACTGAATGGTCTAGTTAGTAGGATCACGATCATAAAGCCAGCTGAGGGGAAAGAAATAGTCCTCTTTTCCAGGAAACTATTTTGACGCTCAGGGAGTTTTTCTGATTCTCAGTTAGGTTGCTGGACAACCACACACTAAGCCTTGTTTTCTTTCTTTTTAACATTTTTCCTAGAATATGATCATTGTTAGATCTGCCAATCACTTACTAAAAAATAATAAAAATTAGATGACTACAATTTGCTCTTATCTTATTATGAAGACACTGTTAATATTCACCATAAAAACAAATCAGAGCTGGGCGTGGTGGCTCATGCCTGTAATCTCAGCACTTTGGGAGGCCTAGGCGAGTGGATCACCTGAGGTCAGAAGTTCAAGACCAGCCTGGCCAACATGGTGAAACCCCGTCTCTACTAAAAATGCAAAAATTAGCTGGGTGTGGTGGCAGGTGCCTGTAATCCCAGCTACTTGGGAGGCTGAGGCAGAATTGCTTGAACCCAGGAGGTGGAGGTTGCAGTGAGCCAAGATCACGGCACTGCACTCCAGCCTGGGTGACAAGAGCGAAACTCCATCTCAAAAAACAAAACAAAACAAAACAAAAACCCCAAAACAAACAAACAAAGCATCTCCAATTTAATCACTTCAAATTTGTTTAAAAGAATTTTCGTGAACAAGGTTTTGACGCATCCATTGTTTTCAAGATCTTGATAAGCTTTAGAAGACTAAAGATCCTCTTTTAAATTCTACGGATGAGAGGATTTTTCGGGCAATCCTCTATACCCCACACAAATCATTTATTTCCCCCAAGGGGAGTTTGAGGGCTTTACCTGAAAACTGATGAGCAATTAGGTTGGGGGAATTTACTGAATGAGAGGACACAAAATTCAAGATATTAACCTCCCCTCCAGATACATATTTATGTGTATACATAAGAGTGTGCAGCTCATAGAATTTCGTGTATACACAAAAGTGTGCACAACTCATAGAAGGAGGTGGACTGTAAATGCACTGAATATTTATAGAAGGCAACACATGAGGGGTGAGTGAATTGGCCCATCTTTTTGCTTACATATATATTTAATAATAATGTTAATTACAATGTCACAACAGCATTTTATATCAGCATATTGTTTTGTACCTTTGAAAGCCTGATAGAAATGATCTCATTTGCTCAGTACAATAGCCAGCTCTGAGAAAGAACTGTGGCAGGTAATTAATATCCCTACTTGATGGATGAGGAAACGGGGCCCAGAATCTTTGACTCTCCTGAAGTTGCATGGCCAGAACCTTGGTCTCTGGGATTCTATGCCAATTCACTTACTGTCTTGCTATTGCCTGGCACTCAGTAGGTGCTTCGTGACTATTTAAGCATCTGTAGAATATTGAATACATAGTCTTGAGATTGATCCTAGGAATTCTGCCCATCAGAATCCCCACTGGGCTCCCAGAGCTTCCTGGTGAATGTTCGTCTCCAGCATGGAGAAGCCACTACAGGCAGGCTCTAAGATGGCCTCAGTGGTCTCCAGCTTCTGATAATCACACCCTTGTGTAACCTCCTCCCTTTGAGTATAGGTGAGATCTGTGAATTGCTTCTAACCAACAGAATATGGCACAGATGGTGAGATGTCGTTTTCTTGCTTATAAAATTATAATTTCTGTATTACTAGAAGACTCTCTCTCTCTCTCTCTCCCCACCCCACCCCCTCGTCCCCACACTAGCTTTAAAAAAGTAAGCTGCCATACTGGGGAGAAACCAAGGTTGGCCTCCAGCCAGTTAGGAAGTGAGGCCCTCAGTCCAGTAACCCTCCAAGAACTGCCAACCACCATATGAGTTTGGCAGTGAACCCTTCCCCAGTAGAGCTTTCAGATGAGACCCCAGTCCTGGCTGACACCCTAACTGCAACCTTACGAGAGACTATGAAGTGGAGGACCCAGTTGAGCTGTGTCTGATTTCCTGACCTGCAGAAACTGGTATAATAAATGTGTGTTGTTATAGCCACTGTGTTTACGGTCATTTGTTACAACACAATAGATAACTATCCAGGCACCCCAAATCCCCTGCTGCACAGCTGGTACACACTTTGGCCTCCTCATCTTTTGTGTAAGCACCCAGCAGGGAGGGCACTGGCTGGGCTGAGTTCTGCCCTGTGCCCTCTCTCTCCTCCCTGACTCCATGATAGCTAAGGCAATTCCACCTCTTGTTTCTTTTCCTCTCAATAGGAGAGGGGCAAGCTGGGAAGACCACCTTTTGTGATCAAGAGTTAGCATTTTAACCTTTTTACTCCTAGATTCACTGTCCACCTCCAGGCCCGGATGAATTAAAAAAAATGTTTTTCTTTGTCCAAAACCACTGAAGCTTTGCTGCAACAAGCAGAGAGCTAAATAGGCTCTGAGAAGATGCAGAGCTGTTTTACAGGCAGAAGCAGCAAGTCTGAGAGAAGAATGATAAAAAAGCAGTCTTCCCAAACAAGTACTTAATGCACTTGCCCTGATGGAGGGGCCTTTGTGTTCTGTTAGTCTTCAAGCTAAATGATCTTAATCAAGGCATACTGAGCCCAGAGTTCCTGGATCATTTATTGTCTCTCACTTATGCAAGCTTTCACTGAAACAAATGAGAAAAAACAACATGTTTTCTCAGGCCAGCCAGGAGAGAGAAAGGCAATGGTTCCTGTCTGCTGCTTAGAAGGGCAACAGTATCGACTTTATGTGGAAGCATTTTGTCAGCAGCTTTGCCATAATTCCAACCCCCACCTAGCATTAGACTGGAGGTTCATGAGGCATCTTTGAGTCTGTCAGAGCTGGGTGAGTCTGTGCTATTTCTTAAGGAGGGCCTGAGTTTGGGAAGTTCTGAAATAATAGTGTTGATGCCTTTCTATCTCACAGGACACATTTTGAAAATGATGATTAGTTCAGAATAATTTGCAATGCACCATCTAGGGCAAGGTCAAGTGAGGGCACCTGTCCTGGTTCTAGAGGTGATCAGAATCAGAAGTCTCTCTTGTGCTGGGATAGTAGTGGCTTCATACTGGGCTTATGCAGACGAAGCTTTGGGTAATCATTTTTCAAGAGAACACTTTGGCTCGTTCACAGCCTCAGAGCCCCAGGCCCCTGCATAGGGTTTGGCACAGAGCAGGCACCCAGTACATGCTTGTTAAATTGAACTATATGAGTTGTTAGTCCCTAGGCTTGGGATTCAGGGAAAGCAATGATGTTGTCTGCATTGGGCGCTGAGTTGAATCTCCCGAGTGGAAAGAAAACAGCTGATTTGGATGCAGCAAGAGCTTCTCCCTTATGCTGGTCAGCAATTGGGCAGTATTTAGTATTGTTCCTAACAGGCATGGGCTTAGAGTTGGAAAGACTTTGGATTGAGCCGGCTTGACTTTGAACCCTGGCCCTGCATTTGATTAGTGGGTCAAGTCACATAATCTTTCTGATCCTCTGTTTCCTCAATTGTAAAATGGGAAGAAAATGATGGCTCAGGTAGCTCCGTATGTGTCAGGCACCTCTCTAAGCCCTGGATACATATAAACGTATGTGATCCTTGCATCAAACCTAAGCGCTGTAAGCATTGATAATCTAAGCACCATTTTTTGATGCAAGGAAACAAAGGCACAGACAGCAGAAGGGAGGTGCTTAGAGTGAGTGGCATAGCTGGGGTTTGGACACAGGTAGTCTGTGCTCTTAAAAAAGATGCTATATTGCTTCCTGATAGTGACATCTCCCTCAGGGAGTCTGTGAGAATCAAATGAAAGAGACACTGAATGAGCTTAGTGACTGTCACCCTGTGTTCAGATGGAAGGAGGTGGCTGACAAATGGCGGAACACACTCTGGGAAGCTCTATTGCTGATGGGTGCTTGGCCTTCAGCCCAGCCTCCAGTTCCACCCTGTCACCGTCACCAGGTCCCTGGAGAAGTGCTTTCTCACCATCAAGCCAACCCTGGTGTTCACTGATGTCCACCTCTTGGGGATGCTGACTGGCTCTCCAGCGTGAAAGCCTCTTCCACTGGAAGAGACTCATTAGCGTTGGTAATGGGATCATGAATCACAAATTAGTTCTTTGCCACCTCTCTTCCTGGAGCACAGCTGTGCTTGCTCCAGGGAAGGGAGACACACCCAAATGAATAGTGACATTCTAATTGGGAGGGCGCCGAACGTGCTGCGATGACTGGGGTCCCAAGAGCCTTGTTAAGGCTGGTACTTCCTGCGTCATCACTAGTGTGCTTGCTATAAATAGGTGATAATCTAAAATTAGCGAGATAATCTAAAATAAGCAAGAACACAGAGCATGAGGTTAATCAGCAGGGCAGCTGAGCAGGGAAATGACCAGTGTCTCAAGCGGCTCCAAGGGTTCTAACTACGGTCCCATGCCTGCCACCCCTTAATGAACAGTCCCCCCCCAGCTGAATGGGTGCTAACAGAAGTGCCTTCCAAGTGCACCAGTGAAGGCTGGGGAGCATGGAGGAATGCCAATTAGCTGCAATTATCAGCTTTCTTACATGTGCGTGGGAACACTGCCTGCCTGGGGCACCGTCTTGAATGTTAGTGAAGATGCAGATGTGCTCTGTTGAAACGAAAACTAACATAAGAAGCCAGATCCCTCTGGAAGACCTATTCAGTAATGAAAGAGAGATCCCTCTTGAAGACCTATTCAGTAATGAAAGAGAGATCCCTCTCGAAGACCTATTCAATAATGAAAGAGAGATCCCTCTTGAAGATCTATTCAGTAATGAAAGAGAGATCCCTCTCGAAGACCTATTCAATAATGGGATTCCTAAAAGATTTCTTTATCACAACTTTGACCTTCTAAATGTTATCTGGCTTAGAAATTTTCACTTTCTGCATGATTTTTAAGAAACATGATCATTTGCCTTTTACACAAGTTGTCTAACTTAGTGCAAGTTAGTTCACCTCTCTGGACCTCATCTGTTAAAGGGGGATACTATGATAGCACCAAGAGCTCAGCACAGTCCTGGCACACAGCAGTGCTTGGTGAATCGCAGTTAGGATTGCTGCGTGAAGAGGGAATGTGATGCAAAGCCTTTGCTTTGGGCCAGGCTCCTTGTCTGTAGGTCAGGATGCAGTCCCGGGTTCCTAAACTTTTTTGCTAATCAAACTTTCCTTGAGGGATGGTTAAAAATGTGGATTTTGACTTCCTGCTCCCAGACATTCGGATTCCATAGGTTGACAGGGGCCCAAGAATCTGCATTTTTAACAAGCAGCACTTGCAGACACCAGGGGACCCAGATGCTGATGATTTGAGGACACACTTGGAGAAACCTGGGGCTGAATCTAGTTCCTTGGCTGGCCAGCTCACTGCTGCACTTGTGAGTCCTGGATTGCGTCTGTAACTGGGGATTTCTGGGGAAAGCTGTTAATGATGCCATTAACACAAGAGTCTATCTGAGTTCCCTCCAGAGGGAACTTCCTGCTTCCTGCTCTGACTTGTCTCTGGACTTCTCACATCTTGGACCTCCCACCTTCAAGGCTGGGATGCAATGATGAGCTGTGGCTAAAGAGAGGAACTTGGCTTCCTCCCTGTCCCCAGCATGGGATTTTCTGCAGGGCTAGCAAGGAAGAGGCCAGGATTTTTCGGAACTGGATTAGAATACATTATTGATTCAGGAACGGAGTGACTCTGAAGGGAAGAGGCCTCCTCTATTGGGGTGTGCTACTGAAGTAGGCTTGGCCGGACCTGCCGGGCCTGAGTGCAGCAGGCTCTGAGGGGAACAAAGACCCCTATCGAGTGGAAAGACAGGGTCTGAGGGAGGATGCAGGCCTGTGGAGCCTGCCTTCCAAGGATGCCGTCATCCCCAGAAGGGCGTACTTGGAACATAATGGCTCTAGCTACAAATTCTATTAACTCTAATAGTTGTTCTGTGGTGAATGGATAATGCATTTAGCAGAAATAGACCCAATCAATTTATATGAAACATATAAAACTTTCTCATTGGAATTGGCATCTGTTCTTGAATCAGGAGCGTGTGTGAAAGTGGACAGCCTGTCACCCTCACTTCTGGGCACATTAGCAGTGCCATGGGTTAATTGGAGATATGGGCCAAATAAAGCCATGGCTCCCTGATGGTATCGCCCTTCAACCCTTGGAATCTTGGAGCTGGAAACGGGAAGGGACTTGGACACTGTCTACTTCTAACCTTGATTTTTTAAAAAATTGCAGTCTCTCTGCCCTTGTCTGTGTTCACATTAACCCCCCTCATCTGCAGACTTGCCCCGATGGGAGGACCTGCAGAGGCAGAATGGCCCCACGCCCACGGCTTGCCAGTGCAACCAGCCAGGGCCCAGTGGGGGTGTTCTCTCTTTTAGTCCAGTGCTTTTCCCATGACACTATATAGTTTTAATTGCTTTTATCCCCCCTTTGGCGAGAGATGTGTATGCAGAAAATGGCAGACCTACCTCTCACCAAATAGCTAGAGGCAAGGCTGTGGTTTTGATGCCAAGGCTCCATAGTTAGGGTTGTGGAGTTGGGCCCAAAGTTTGGGCGGGTTCTCCCATTAGCTGAGCTGATTCCCTTAGACTCGCCCTGCACAGACAGCCTCTGAGCTCCAAGGAGAAGGATAGAGGGGTAGGGAGGTTGAGGAAGGGTCCTTGGGCCCTGGGGGGCCTGCTTGTCCCAATCTGGGCTTTTTAGGGAAAGAGTGTGGCAGAGCCTGACTGTTCCTCCTCACTGCTAACATTCATTACTGCCAGAGAGAGACAGTCACAGGGAGGGGAAAGAGATAGAAAGAGAGAGAGAGAGAAGGAGGGAGTCGGGTGAGGGAGAGAGAGAGAGAGAGAGAGAGAGAAGAACCTGGCTCTGCAGCCCCGTGGTCACATTACCCCAATCATTTGGTTAGTGTAATTGTATGTGCAAAGCTGACAAATGTAATTTCCCTGGACTTAATACTTGCCCCATTTTCTCTTTCAGCATCTTCATCTGATTAGCTAAAGTGACTCAGAGTCTTCCGAGAATGCTGCATGAAGCACCTGGACAGGATTTTCCCAGCCTGGAAACTTGAGCGGCTCAGCTCTGCTCCATGGGCCTGGAGGTGAAGAACCTCCCAGATCCAAGGAGTCAGGCTGAGTCCCTCATCAGAAGGGAGGGCTGCTGTGGGGAGTGAGGAATGTTTAGGGAAGCTTAGAAGTGTTGTCAGTAACTGTTCTCAAAAGACCCCAAAGGGCCTTTGCGTTTCTAGTTCTCTAAAGCCTGCCCGGAGGAGAGTTGAAATGCCACCAACCACCTCGTTCCAGCCCAGCAGAAACTGACAGCTTTGAACTTTGGAAAGAAAAATCTTATTATCCTGTCTCCTCGATTGTTTGTCAGAAGGTTGGGAGCTGATTTGTTTACTGTTCGTTCAGGGCCTCTTGGCTGGAACTCTTCCCTGCTCTTTTCCATTTTTAGTGTTTATCTCCGATTGGAGACTTTGATACCTAGAAGTAGCTTAGTTGGGTGAAAGAATGTGGACTCCAGGTTGACTTCCTGGCCCTACTGCCTTCCAGCCTTGGGGCCCTTAAATTCTTCCATACCATTTTACTCATCCCTATAATGGTAAAAACAGCAACTGTCCCTGGGCCTGTGTGAGGACAAGCTGTTGTGTGAAATAACCTAGGCTATGGGACCACGCTCTATGATCTTTCCTTTCCTTTCCTTCCCCCTCTGGCCTATCCCTCTGTCCTTCTTCAGGGGGCCTCCCAGGTAGAAGCTCTGAGCTTGGGCTTTGCAAACATGCCCTGCTGCCTCGTAGGCCACTCTCCTCCCATGGCCCAGAAGCTCCAGAATGGCAAGAATTGGCTCAGCCCTGTCCCTGTTGTAACCATGCACCGTGCTGGGCACGTGTCTGCTGGGTGATTATTACTGACTGG
The DNA here is from genome assembly GCF_000001405.40 of Homo sapiens. Taxonomy (NCBI): domain Eukaryota; kingdom Metazoa; phylum Chordata; class Mammalia; order Primates; family Hominidae; genus Homo; species Homo sapiens. The sequence goes on from NC_000002.12 coordinate 29,273,269, forward strand.
GTGTGGCCTTGGCCTCTGCCTCCATGAGTCTGCCTGGACCCATAGGCACTACCTCAGTATTGCTCTGAGACTGGGGTTGAGAATGAGGGGTCAAGTTTCTCAGTGGGGAGACTTGTGTTCCAGCTGCTGTCTCCTCCAGCCTGTAATTTTATTTAGAGGTGGTGGGGGAGTCATCGCCACGTGTGAGCCACTGGTGATTTCATTAGTCTGAGTGGCCATTGGGCAGGCCCTTACTGAGTAACCTTTTAGGGACAGTGGGAGTTATGTGGCAATAAACTCAGGAGTTGAGCAGGGTGGATGGCTGTTTCCTAAATGCTGGCTGCAGGGGGCTGGCTGCTGACACCTGAGATCCAAGCTCAGGCATCCAGCCACCCACTAGTCAATAGATGTTTCTGGAGTCTCTGCTGTGTAATCAGTGCTGTTGATTAGGCTGGGCAGGGGGCTATGGCTATGTTTACTTAGCACACTAAAAGGGGAAGTCTGGCTTCTTCCCTCCATTTATAAATTTATACATTTCCTGAATTTATAACAGGGAGGTGGTAGTTGACCAAGAGCCAAGGAGAGAGTGGAGGTGAATCACTGGGCCTGGGGGGTAGGGCACTGAATGGAGAAGTTAGAAGGCTGCCTCTATCAGGTGAGACATTGGCATGAACTGGGAGGTGAGGGGGAAAGCAGAGAGAGCTGCAGTTTTGTAGGACGGGCTCCCCTCTGTGTGGGAATATACAAAGGTCTTTCATGGTTCTAGTTAAAGGGGAAGGGAGGGATGATGCGAAAAGTAACTAACTCTTTCTCCTGGGTCTGGCAGCTGGATTAGATCAGGCAGGAATCAGGAAGGGGTGACGGTTAGCCCTGGGGCAGCTTTTCATGGGACAGAAAGGAAAGGACTCCTTCAAAGACAAAGCCATGCTAATGTCTAGTTCACATGTTGAGAGCAGATGTGGCAAAGGTATGGACCTCATTTTTTGTACTTTGTGCCAAAAAAGGATTTCACATTATAAGTTGAAATTAGAGATTTATCATTGATCTGTTATTATTTTGATAAAGACTTATCTTTTATAGGAAAAAGAGTGTGGGTAGACTGTGTGTTGTACACTTGTTTCTCCAGGCTATACATAGCAGAAGACACCTCACAGGCCCAGGCACCAGTGCCTGCCTGGGAAAATCCCTTGGCTGGCTGGCATGGGGCTGGGGCAGCCTTAGTCAGCTTCTGCGGGGCTAGGTTCACAGCCGCTGGTCTAATAGAAGAGTGGTGGAGAAGTCACACCTGTGGTTTATAACCAGAGGCTGACGAGTTCTGCTGAAGTGGCAAGGGGCCATGAGAAGTCTTGGCTTGGGGTATGCTGAATAGAACAGCTTTGGAGGGATCTGAGCTCTGGGGGAACTGTGTTGAAAGGAAGCTTTGGGGGCTTTACCCATGATGGGGTAGCCTACCTTTGTGCAACAGATAACCTTGGCCAGGCCCAGCCCTCTTTATAAGGAGGAGAAATCTTACAGTAAGCTTTGCTTTGTTCAGTAAGGCGGCAGTGAATTCAAAGCAGAGTTGGGGAAAAAAATGCCAGCTTGGTTCTCTCCTTTGGGTGGGGCCTAGGTATTCCCTAGGCATAGAGGAAGCTGCTCCTTTGTACAACCTCCAGAGGTTTCCTTTGCTCAGGCAATATGAGAACCAGACAGCTTCCCCTTGGACCCCATAGTCAGAGTGTAGGTGATACTCCTTCTAAAGACTGTTTCATTCTTTCAGCACAGCTCCCCACCCTAAAGACAGCACCAATCTTTCTTCTGCCTTTTGCAACAAGAAGTTACTGTGCTCACATTTGTGAGCTGAACCCTTACCTGTAGGGTCAAAGATGGGGGTCTGTCTTGGTGAATTTTCCCCGGGTTTCAGCTCCTTGTTTGGGTTTCTCTCAAACAGGTTTCTTGATTTGGGTGCTGTATTCTGCAGGATCTTGTCCTCTCCGCTAACTGCAATAGAGAAGACCCCACGGGCTGAGTTAGGTGAGGGTTGATTTCAGGGTGAGAGATGATTTCACACTGAGGGAGGTGGGAGAGACAGTCAGGCTTAGGCTGAGGAGGGGACAATGAGGCCATGGGCCATGGGGGTTGGGGGACAGAGTGCTGGGGTCAGAGTGAACTCACTGGTGAGGTAGCAGTCCAGGCTGATGGAGATATTGTCAAAAGCCACGATGGCTCTGGATCCTTGTCCCCACCATGCGACCATCTGCAGCCAGAACCTGTACACATCAAGAGGAATGTGTGTGAGGAGCAAACTGGGGGGTCTTGTCTTAGGATTCAGCATCCAGCAGGTGTGTGCTGATCACCTGGCTCAGAATGTGAGTTTGAAAAAGGCTCGCTAATCCCAGAGCAGTGGCGAGAGAAGAGCAGTCAGCTCCCCCTACTTCTGCAATGCAGAGCACTTCCCCTTCCGAACTATCGCTCCGTACTGTTAATGGCTGACACACTGGTCCTTAAATCCAGCCTGGAGTTTGGGGCCTGGGACCAGGACTCCCTGATAATCTGAGGAGAAATCTTTTGCTTTCTGGGTGTGCAGGATGCTTGGAAATGGGAAGAAATCTGACAGTAACTGCTTCGTTCAGTAAACGGGGAGTGATTTCAAGGCACTGAGTTGGGGAAAAAAATACCAGCTTGGGTGTCCTGTTTGGGTGAACTGAACAGGAGAAATGGGTAGGTCTGACATTCAGCCAGTGGGGCTTAAGTCATTATTAAAATATTAAAATGCTTCTGTACCAGCCAATAAAGAACCACAGTTCCACCAGTTCCCCTTGCTTGTTGCTTCAGGCAACTGGCTCCTTCCCTGCTGCCCCGACCCCTCAATTTCCCAATTAACCAGCACCCATAGGGTTTATCCATTGATTAGCCCAGCAGGGGTCTCAAGCATCCTGGGTTTCATCCAGCATCACTGGAGGTTGCCTGCCTGGTGGTTAAATATTAAGCGACTTGACTATCACCCCTGGAAGTGTTGTAACCAACACAGGGGTCATAAAAGTGTTAACAACAAACCCATTAAGATATTGTTTCTTTCCCCCACCCTTTCATATCCTTGGAGGGCCAGGTTCTCAGACTGTGGCCAGGGAAGGCCTTACAGTGACATAAACAGGAAAGTACTTTTGGTTTGTTTGTTTCCTGGGAAATCATCCCATGGAAGGCTAGCAGAGTCAGCTGGCCCTTTCCTGCTCTAAGTGAAGGTTTCCTGAGAACCTTAAAATCCTTTCCTACCCTCCAGAACGTCAATCCAGAATGACATGCAGAACAGGGCGTGGTCTCTGGCATGGGTATGAAAACACCAAGAGAAAGAAGTCATACCCATCCATTGGTGACTGGGCAAACTCCATATGGTACAGCCATATGATGGGACGCCAGTCAATGGTCAAAAATGGACCCGGAGACGTGCTATAAAATGGATGGACCTCAAAGACGTGATGCTAAGTTAAAGAAGCCAGACAGTAGGTGAAAGACCGCCTATTGAATGATTCCATTGATAGAAAATGTCTAGAAAAGGTAAATCTGTGGGGCCAGAAAGCAGATTAGTGGTTGTCTGGGGCTGGGAGTGGGCACAGGATTGACCGCAGACTAGCACCTAGGCTTTTTTTGGGGTGATGAAAATGCTCAGAAACGGGATTGTGGTGCTCTCTCCACAGCTCTATAAATCTGTTGGAAGTCACTGACTTGTACACTTAAAGTGGGTGCATTTTATGATATATAAATTACAGTCTGATAAAGGTGTTAGAAAAAAAGGAGAGAGAGGAAGAGAGAGGGAACCCAGGCCACAGGGCATTGGCCACATAGGGTGTCAAGAGCAGAAAACCAGAGCAGGGTGGCACTGGCAACATGGAGAGAACAGGGCCTGCAGGGTACAACAAGGACAAGAAATGGGATGTCAACAGTGGGAGGAAAGATGCAGAGGAAGAGATATGGAAAGAAAGGGCATTTGCTCATATGGATTTGCAGTGAGGCAGCAAAGCTTTAGCCAGTGGGTAAACTACAGCAGGGGTTGGAAGCTCCCGTTGCGCCTGTGTGCAGATGATCTCTGATCAACGTGTAGAAGATGCTGGCTTGTTAGATGCTGGCTTGGTTATTCCTGGCCAGAGAACAATTACTGTTTCCATGGAGCAAAGCCTTGAATCCCAAAACTTTTATCCGAATAACTGTGATCGATTATGCTTAACTGAACTACTCCATACATTTATCTGTGCTTTCAACCATCTTGTGAGATCTGGTCATTCAGAAACAATCCTTTCTGTCTGAAAGTCACAATTACAGGACCCAAATCTGGTTTGATTCTAAAGAAGAAATGCCCAAATCTGTTGTAGCCGTGGCCAGCATCACTGGGGTTGGCCCTTCAGGCCATATTCCCCATGAAGAAGTCTCCATGCTACCCTCAGTCAGGATAGTGTGTGCTGGTGGTTGGGTGTGGAAGGAGAAGTGCCTGATGGAGAACCTTCAAATCCTGTTCTGGGTGGCTTGGGCATGCCAGATGAGTGTGCAAGAGGGGATGGACAGCACAAGGACCCTCAGCCCCTGCCACTCTGGCACTGGGGTGTATGCCTCTGAGAGGCATCTCTCATTCCAACCTTGATACACACCTATTTTTGTTTCCTGTAAAGCTATTACATATAGGTCTATGGGGCATTCTAAGAGAAATCGACATGAACGCTGCATTCAAGTTACTTATTGTCCAGTGTGAAGATGAAGTGTGTGTACCTTGGTGTGGAATAAAGTAGAAGGAGGTCAATGCTTCATAAAGGTGCAGATACAGCAGTGTGCGAGCTCAGAGGAAGGGGGAATTACACCAGGGTGGGGAGAGCAGGAGGGCTTCACAGAGAAGACAGTATTTAAGTTGGTTTTGAATGCAGGGAAGGGCTTGAGGATGTGGGTGTGGGAGTGCAGTGCAGGGAGGAGATGTCTGGAGCAGAGGAACTGGTGTGAGGGCCATGTGGGCAGGGATAGGACCTGTCCTGCTGGGGAGCAAGGAGTGAGGAAGGAGGTAAAGATGGTGTGGACCTCTGAACAGAGATCAGGCAAGGAGGTTCTGCCATTATTTCAGGGAAAATGGAGAGCCACTGGAGGTTTCTAACAGGACAGTGGCAAGATCAAAGACCTCTTAGAGGATAATTGTGATGGGAGTAGTAAGCAGGATGGGGACCAGGAGAGGAGGCAGAGGCAGGGGAGACAGCATGAGAGGCATTTCTGCACACATCTCACACGCCTTCATCAGGTTTCTCTACAAATCTTGGCAAGGTTATAGCCACGATTTCCGTGGGGTCTCCCCATGGGAAACAGTCCATAGATGAGTTTCTGGCTTGAGCCTCTGTAACCCTGGACAAAGCCCAAGCCTGGGATCTCAACTGGAAAACCAGGGCCCTAATACTGCTGTCTTGTTAAAGCAGGTGCAACCCTTAGGAAAATGCTGCTTCCAGGTAGCAAGAAAACAGGCACTTAGAGTGACAGAGAGGGTGAATAGAAGGACTCAGGTTCCCTGTGGGAGCATCAGGAAGGCACAGCTGCCTGGCTCGCCTGCACATCAGGGGGTGAGTGCCCCCACAGGGCACATTTCTCCACCAGGTCATCATCTCCTAATCTGTCATTCACAGGACCAGGGGCCAAGCCAGGCCCTGGTTTCAATGCTGAGCTATATGAGGGGTGTACCTTCCAGGAGGCCAGAGGGGCTTGAGCGAGTAAATGACATGTGTGTGCCTGGGGGGGGGGACAGAATCGCGGCTATCCTCTAAATGGGTGCTCCCTGGGAAGCTGCATGTCTCCCTGCCCCTCTCTGTGCCTTCCTTCCTTATTACTAAGAGATTAGATCTGCGAAGTCTCTCACAGCCACTGGGCCTCTTAGCATGGATGGGATGATGCCGGCTGAGGCTGGAATGGTTTCTAAATAGAAGAGTTTCTAAAGTGCTCTGCGCGGCGACAGCAGTGGCAGCTGCTGCTTAAAAGAGTTTGATTGACACTGTGAATTGCACATATTTTGAGTCAGGAACACGCACAACCATCAGGAAGATTCAATCAGATGGCAATATGGAACCAGGCAGTGCTGCCTCTGTCCACCCGGGGCCACCCACACATGGGTGCCTCTGTCCATCCATGGGCCAACCCTCCCCCATGGCTCCAGCCCCCAGAGGCTGCAGGGAAGGGACAGTGGGACAAAGGTGGGACAAAGGTGAGCTGCTGAAGGATGGGTGGAGGGTGGGGCAGGAGCAGAGGCCGTCTAGGAATGGGGTCTGTGGGTGGTAGGTGATGGGCAGTCAGCAGGTAGAGCAGCACCAATCTAGGAGGCTCTTTTCTGTGGATGTGCTGGCCCAGAGACAGAGTGGGCATCAGGACCACCCAGATTCAGGTTTCCCTACTTTCGAAGGTGCCTGGTTGTGTGTCTTTACCTGATAGGTGAAGAAGAGGTTGCTTCTGGCACCGCTTACTGTCTCCTTGCTGGAGATGGGAAAGGCTTCCTCAAGGCTCTCGCAGTCTCCTGGTTCTACCCACTCCTTTCCGTGAGTCCCCCAGAAGTACAGCTACCATGTCACTCTCCAGAGTCAGCTATGGCCTCAGGTCTGGAGTTCTACCACTTACTAGCTGGGCCACTTTGGGATTGAGGGAAAGTTCTGGCATGTACCAGGTGGACCACCATGGGACTGAGGGAAAGTTCTGGTATGTATCAGGTAGACCACTCTGGGACTAAGGGAAAGTTCTGGTATGTACCAGGTAGACTACCAAGGGACTGAGGGAAAATTCTGTTATATACCAGGTAGACCTGACACTTAGTTGGGACCTGACACACTCTGGGACTGAGCAAGAGTCCTGGCATGTACCAGGTGGACTGCTGTGGGGCTGTGGGAAAGTTCTATCATGTATGAGGTGGCCCACTCTGGGACTGAGGGAAAGTTCTAGTATGTACCATGTAGACCACTCTGGGACTGAGGGGAGGTTATGGTATATACAGATGGACTACTCTGGGACTGAGGGAACGTTTTAGTGTCTACCAGGTAGTCCATTCTGGGATTGAGTGAAAGTTTTAGTATGTACCATGTAGACCACTCTGGGACTGAGGGGAGGTTATGGTATATGCCAGGTGTACCACTCTGGGACTGAGGGAAGGTTCTGGTATGTACCAGGTGGACCACTCTGGGATGGGAGGAAAGTTCTAGAATGTACCCGGTGGACCACTCTGGGACCGGGGGTTAGTTCTAGTATGTACCAGGTGGTCCATTCTGGGACTGACGGAAAGTTCTAGTATGTACCAGGTAGAACACTGTGGGACTGAGGGGAGGTTGTGGTATATACAGATGGACCACTCTGGGATTCAGGGAAAGTTCTAGTATGTACCAGGTGGACCACTCTGGGACTGAGGGAAAGTTCTAGAATGTACCAGGTAGCCCACTCTGGGACCAAGGGAAAGTTCTAGTATGTACCAGGTGGTCCATTCTGGGATTGAGGGAAAGTTCTGGCATGTATCAGGTGGACCCTCTTGGACTGAGGGAGAAAATTCTAGTGTTTACCAAGTAGACCACTCTGGGACTGAGGGGAGGTTATGGTATGTGCCAGGTATACCACTCTGGGACTGAGGGAAGGTTCTGGTATGTACCAGGTGGACCACTCTGGGACTGAGGGGAGGTTGTGGCATATGCCAGGTGTACCACTCTGGGACTGAGGGAAGGTTCTGGTATGTACCAGGTGAACCACTCTCGGACCGAGGGAAAGTTCTAGTATGTACCAGGTGATCCATTCTGGGATTGAAGAAAAGTTCTGGCATGTACCAGGTAGACCACTGTGGGACTGAGGAAAAGTTCTAGTATGTACCAGGTGGTCCATTCTAGGATTGAAGGAAAGTTCTGGCATGTAGACCACTCTGGGACTGAGGGAAGGTTCTGACATATACCAGATGAGCCACCCTGGGTTTGGCTGAAAGAAAGCAAGGACCCTGACACATCACTGCCAAGACTGCGAGGGACAGGCCATCCTAGAGAACATAGTTACTCCTCTGCCCCACTTTGAAACCTCAGCTCTGGATGGGGAAAGGAGGCTGGGTTCCCCAGGATAGAAGAGGCTTCCCCTTCCTCTCTGTGGGCAGCCTGGTCAAGGAGAAGGGAAGCGTTAGCCCTTTGGGGTTCCTTCCACTCTCTCACCAATCTGTGTTGCCTAAGAACGTGGCAGGGGAGTCTCCTCTCTTTCCCAGTGCTTAGCAGCAGAGATTTTGCTCCTGACCCTTCATAGTTCGTACCTGCTCAGCTCTTTCTGTTTCTTCAAAGAGGACACTTTTGATTGCATGGGTTGTTGTTGCTTTTTCTTTTCTTTTTTCCAGCCGGTGGAGTTTGGAACTTGTTATTAAAACAGACTTGGCTAGAGATCTTGGTTGGAGGCTGGCTTTGCATAAAGAATGCATTCGCCCTGACTCTTCTCATTCAGCTCTACAGAGACGCCTTTTGAAAACAGACTCAGCGGGGATCTGGGAGGTGGCCATCTGGGCAGTGGGCCAAGTCTGGAAGGGCAGCTTCAGAATTGGGCGCCTCGGAGACTCATCGGGCAGATCTCTGCCTGAGAAATGCCGATGCTGCTCACGTACGACTCAGAAAATGTACCATCTCATTCAGGCAACAGACTGTTAATGGACAGCGAATATAATGCCTTATTTGCCACCCTGCCAGCCTTAGGGATTGACAAACCTAATTAAGTTCACTTAATGATTTTAAGTAGCTGACAGAAAGGTTTGTGTCTGATGTGGATGGAGGGAATGGCGAAGCTTTGGAGGGCAGAGCAGGATGGAGTGGCTGGACTGGGTAGAAGGCATTTGCCAGCTGGGCACCATGTCTCACATTCCTTCCTTGGCCATTTAGTGGGCTCGGAAGAAGGGAGTGTCCTGCATCCCTTTTTGCTGCTGGTGCTTGTCTGGGCCCTGGCTGCTTAGGATAGAGCTGGCAGGTACTGTAGAGGAAAAACACTTTCTCCAATTTCTCGCTGCACAGTTAATTTGCTCTGCAAAAGTCTTCTAAAATGGGCTGTCATGAAGCTTGGGTCGCAGTAGGCATATCTATTAGAATAATATATGTGAAGAAAAAGCCCTGCCACATCCCTCCTATTATCTGTATAATGGACTTCAGCTCTAAGATGAAGATGGGAGCTGATGGACCGCTTTGGATTCCTGGGACCATCCTTGGCCATGTCAAACGCAATCATGGCTAGGAATGTGTGTCTTGGCTCTAGGAGTCTTTAACTTCTGCACAGTAAACTGGAGATGAGCTGGACATTCAAGGCCATACTCAGGAGTTGGGAACATACCCCTCCTGGCTCCATCCCACTCTTAGAAGTAATTTACCACCTCCTGCCTTGGTTTCCCCTCTAGGCATAACGACACCAGGAGCATGAGTAAAAGTCAACACAGAGCTTCCAGGGCTTTCAAGGGCCATAGAGATCTTTCACAATGAGTCTGGCTTGGTGAGGAAGCCCTTCTAGAAATAAGAGAGAAAATGAATTTTCAGCCAGGCTGAGCAAGCATGGAGAATCACTCAGACCCTTCCACATTCTCAGTTTGAGGCTTCCAGGCATTCTGTGCTCACTTTCGGGGGCTCAGCCTAAAGGCTCCTGGCTCCCTCCTGTGCTCTGGTGTGTCACCAACTGGAAAGGCCTGCTGCAAGGATGTTCCACCACAGCAGATGGAGACCCATCTCTGGCAAGTTCCTGTTTTTCTTTCATTCTCGAAATCTGTGTAGTGTATGTTGAGCTCTGCTGGGCCCTGGGTTTTGATGAGGAAAGACATTGCTTCCTGGAGCCATGGTCCAGCAAGCGAGGGGCCTGTGCACAAAAATACTCGACCTACAGTCAAATGCCAAGTGCCCTAGGGAAGGATTCAAGTGCCTCTTGGGCCCCTGCCATTCTTTTGACTTGTGTGGTTGCAATGGAGATAGTAGCGGATGTGGGATGAGAGCTCAGGCCTCTTGCATCCCTGGCCAATTTTCCCATCATCTCTTGCAGAACCATCCAACTTGTCGAATCTCATTTAGTCTCATATGTACTCCGTACCATCGGAAAAGTAGAGCAAGCTCCTTGGGATGACTGGGGGCATGAGGGCTGTCTGGAGCTAGAAAGGCCCGCCATCCATTCTTCTTGGAGGGACAGGGATGTCTGCTCCCCGTTTCTTGGAACACACAAACATTTCCTCTGTCCTCTGTTGCTGTGTTGGCTTGCGGCTTGGGGAGCTGACATGGTACCGAGATGGCAGCACTGACAATGGCGAGAAGACCCAGAAAAAGGGTGGTTTCTACCTCTCTTCTCGCCTGACCAAAAGCATCTTTATGAGAGTAAATTAGAAGTCTTTTCTGCTTGGTGAGGACTAGTTTCAAAAAGTAGAGTGGAGTGAAGACTGGGTCTATATAGTTGGTGGGGCCCTGGGCAAGTTGCCAAAACTTTTAAGGTGCCATCTTGGTTTTTAAAAGAATCTATGTAAGATGTGTTTTTTTCCCCCAACAATGGAACCCTTTGTTTAGCATGAGATGCTAATTTATTGCTCCTGTTTTATATTATATGTTTACTAGTAACATGTGCTTCCTCAAGCAGTGCCACAAATGACATCTCTCCCCCTCTTTCTTTGAGCAGAGATTATCTGCGCAGGTACTGTAAATCACATACTTGTGCCTATAGCTAGGAGTGTAGAGATGTGTAAGACGTGGACCTTGCTCCCGAGGATTTCAGTCAGTGATGTGATTCACGTTATTTACTGACCGGGAATTGCTGAAGTCTCTTTTAGTTGTGCCCCCTATAGAGCTAGAAGCTACTCAAGCTGGAAAAACATTGCATCTGGACAATGAGAGAGAAGTCAAGAAAGACTTAAAATAATGAAAAGTCTTGGAGAATGGTAGAACTATGGGCGAAACTCTCACTAGGCAGTGGGGTGTGCTGGTGGGAGCAATGTGGAAGGTGTGGGTGGGACACCAGTCAGGCAGCTGGAAACCCAGGTGTGGAACCCAGGTGGACATAAAGATATTTGAGTCATCTGCATAGAGGTAAGGGTGGAAGTTATGAGCATTGATGAGGTTCCTGGCGCGGGGGTGGGGGCAGCATAGATAGAACTGGATTCTTTGCTTCAAATATTGGAAGCTCAATTATCTCCTAAATTGCAGGCTTTGTGTTTAGGGAAAGAAGGGGCTGAGAACACAGGGCTACATTTTCCGAGACATTAAGAATTATGAAAAACATACACATCTGTTGACTTGTAAGCCAAGCTGTGGATGTTACCAAGAAAATCTTGAGCAGATTCGAACATCCTGTTATTTTAAAGAGGTTCACTTAGTGCCATTTTGAGCAACTGCCTCCTAAACCAAGCTCATGGGCCGGATCTGTCTCACTGCTTTGCACTCTTGATTGTGGAAACTTAGCAATCAAAAGCAACAACTTGTCCCAAACGTCACAGTAAATCAGCGTTAGAAATAAGATTTAAAGCTCAGAATTGCTAATCTACTCCTTGCTCCAATGATCTGGGATATTTTCTGAGAAAGAAACAGGGCCAGATCCTTCCAGAATTATGAATGTTTGATTTCTATATATCAATGCCTGGTTGCACATCGTGTGCTGAGCCACCGGCCGCATCTCTTCTCCTCTTCTTGAACGGCTGAAGCTGCTCACGTACAGCTCAGAAAATGCACAATCTCGTTCAGGCAACAGGCTGTCGATGGACAGTGAATATATTGCCTTATTTGCTACCCTGCCAACCTTAGGGATTGACAAACCTAATTAAGTTCACTTAATAATTTTAAGTAGCCCATGTCTACTTAAGTTCGCCCAAGGCTGTCCTGAGCCAGTGGTGCCATTTGGAAGACAGCAGAGGAAGAAGGTTCTTCTCCTCCAGGTTCTTTCTTCACGCTTTCTGAGCTTCACACTGAGGCTCCAATCACTTGCCACTGGGCCCCTCAAAAGACCTTCCAATATCCCCCATGCTCTGTGCTTCCCGCCCTCCAGCCTATCTCCGTGCTCAGTGGCTTTCTTATTTTTTCTTCTTTTTTGAGACAGAGTCTAGCTCTGCCACCCAGGCTGGAGTGCAGTGGTGTGATCTTGGCTTACTGCAACCTCCACTTTCCAGGTTCAATTCTTGTGCCTTAGCTTCCCGAGTAGCTGGGATTACAGGTACGCCACCTTGCCCAGCTAATTTTTTATATTTTTAGTAGAGATGGGGTTTCACTATGTTGGCCAGGAGCCAACATATGTCTTGAGCTTCTGGCCTCAAGTGTTCTGCCCACTTTGGCCTCCCAAAGTGCTGGGTTTACAGGTGTGAGCCATGGTGCCTGGCCCTCAGTGGCTCTTTTTTTTTTTGGAATGGAGTCTCTTTCTGTCGCCCAGGCTGGAATGCAGTGGTGCGATTTCAGCTCCCTGCAATCTCCGCCTCCCAGGTTCAAGTGATTCTCCAGCCTCAGCCTCCCAAGGAACTGGAATTACAGGTGCATGCCACCATGTCCAGTTAATTTTTGTATTTTTAGTAAAGACGGGGTTTTACCATGTTGGCCAGGCTGGTCTTGAACTCCTGACCTCAAGTGATCTGCCTGCCTTGGCCTCCCAAAGTGCTGGGATTACAGTTATGAGCCACCGCACCTGGCCTTCAGTGGCTGTTTATTACCTGTATTCCTAAATCCAAAACACCTGGCCTAATATTCACACTCACTCTCTCCCAAAAAGATTTCTCAGGATTCTCTGACACAACCAGGTTGGCTGTTCTTGAACCCACAAAAAACATTTCTGCATCTCCAAGCCTCTGCTTTCCCTGAAGGCCTTCTCTGGAATGCCTTGTCCCTTTTCCATTTCTCTAAGACTTAAATTTTCCTCAAGCACCAGTTTATAAAAAGCTCATTTTCTCCGTGATGGTTCATCTGACTGCTCCTGTATCTGGACGTCAATGCACCTGCTGAACCCTGGTCATGATCTGTTGGAACCTGCAGGGTGCCTGTGTGCTACTGTTTGCCTGTGGAGGTCCTGTGATCTGGCAAGAGCTGATCAAACATCCTTTTCCATCCTCTGTGCTTGATGGAGGCTTAATATATGTTTGCCGACAATGTGTCAGCCAATGACATTTCTCCAGTCACTTCTTGATTCCCTGTCTTGCCCAGATCCAGATACCTGGATCTGCCATTATATACCAGTGACTTCCAAATGTGGTTACGCATGAAAGTCAACTGGGGAACTTTAAAAAATACAGATTCCTGGTCCCAATATGTCATCTGTGAATCAGAATCTTTGTGTATGAGATCTGGGGCTCTGAAAGAAAAAAATACGTTTTCCAGGTGATCATAATGTTCATCCAAGTTTGGAAACCATCGTCCTACACTGTCCTGCTAGTTTTAAGCCTTTTCAAAAGCACTTTCTCTTGTTTATTTATTTATTTTTTGTTTTTAGAAATGACAAATTCGGGGGTGGGGGGAAATTCTGAGGTGGTTTCTGCCAGAAAGTAAGATTTTGCTGCATCATAAAAATTTGGGAATGAAACATTCATACCTTAGAATAGAACCTGGAATTGATTTCAGCCTTGAGTTATGAGGCTTTGTGGAGAAGAAGCGTGATCAATGCTCAGCATAGCTAAATGAAGAAGAGACATTCTCAAGTGACACTCTGATAGATGGCCAGACATGAGAGCTATATTCCTTGACTTAGTCTGTGACACACCATCTCATTTTTTTTTTTTTTTCAAATCTAACTCACTTCTTTTATTTGGGCACACAGCTAGACTACATTCCCCAGCACCCTTTGCAGTAGGTGTGGCCATGTGACTTTTTTTACATTATAAAATGTTTTATTAATGAAAACAAGCTTTGAGAAACATGGTGCATTGCAAAAGCTAAGAAACTCATCCACAGAACCTTGAACGCTTCTTGTGTGCACCATGTATTCTAGAGTTTTTCCAAGTCACATTTAATGTTATCAGTTTTGAGTTACTAAATTCAGAGGAGTCTTATTTCTCACTGCTTGAATTTTTAGGAAATACGACGAAAGCACATTGTAAACCACTAATATTTACAATAGTCAAAAATGAGCTCATAATAAAATACATTTAGGCCATGTTTCAAAGAATACTTAACAGGTCAACATCATTCTGCGTTACTGTTGGCCTTGTGTCTTACACACAATAGATGCCTAACATCTAATGACCAAGACCTTCAACTGAATTATGTAACCATTTTCTTTGATTCTTACATGTGCCAATTTTAGACAGAAACCTTAAATGATGATACAGAAGCCACAGTATGATATTACAGGTAGTGTGGTAATTCTAACCCTGAAAAAAAATCCCAATGACTGAAAATTTTTGTTTCCTAGGTACGAAGCATAAAAACCAGCCCAGATAAGGCAAACAAAAAGTCAGTAAGGAAATCCAAAGAGAGCAGATGGCAAAGGAGGCAATGTGAGCGGAGCAGAAGTGATGATTCATAAAAATCTTCCTGTTCAAGGCTTCCTAAGCTCTTTGCCCACCGACTGGCTGAATGGAAAGGATTCCAAGGCCAGAGGAAAGGCCCACCCTTTTCTCTGGCCTTGGAATCCTTTCCATTCAGGGAAGGAAAAGGGTGGAAGGGGCCTGGATCCCTGAATGATCAGGTGGAAGGCCACCCACCAACCAGCATGCTTATTTTTAATTTCACACGAGCAGGAAATAACATTTCTTTTGTTTACAGCTCCTGGAGTGGAGATGTAATGTTACTTCAGGTAGTGTCACCCCCTCTCACATACATGTGGCACATACCTAGGTACTCAGGTGTGTTCAGTGCACCTGGCATTGTTGGGTTGATGACTAACACACTCATGGGGGTGGGAGGGATGGGTGAACTTGGTCCTTGACTGGCTGCAGGAATCTGCAGTATTCTTCCTTCACAGCTATAGCCTTCCCCTCTGCAGCACACTCCTGCACTACTCCAGGACTAGGGACAGGTCTGAGTAGGGCAGGGGGCATAAAGGAGCTTGGCCCAGGGCTCGGGATGCAGATGCAGCTCTCCTGTGCTAATGTGCTATTTGCATAGGCTTTAGGCTCATTGACCGGGTTTCTGTCATGTTCTGGAGGCCTGGGGCCTCGTCTTGTCCTGGTTTTTCACTTGGGTCCTGACCACACACCCATATCCCTCTCTGGATGACTGATCTGGCACCCCAGTCTGTGCCTGGTGTGCTCCTACAAGTCAGAGTCCTTTCTTTGGCTCTTAACTGCATGGCTGGGCCCTGCAGGTACAGGCTGACCTCTTCACGGCTGACAGGGTCTTCAGGTGGCCCAGGCCTAGGCGCCATAGCACAGTTCTTTCATATCAGCTGCTGATGTGTGATAACACCTGCTGCCTGTTGTCACTGAGATTCATGGAAAAAATTTTTTGACCATGAAAGCATGGTGTTTGGAAAAGGGTGAGTGTTTGAGCTAGAAAACTGTGCCTTGAACTGGGTGCGGTGGCTCATGCCTGTAATCCCAGCACTTTGGGAGGCTGAGGCGGGCAGATCACTTGAGCTCAGGAGTTCAAGACAAGCCTGGCCAACATGGTGAAATCCCATCTCTACTAAAAAATACAAAAATTAGCCAGGCGTGGTGGTGGATGCCTGTAAGCCCAGCTACTTGGGAGGCTGAGGCAGGAGAATCGCTTGAACCCAGGAGGTGGAGGTTGCAATGAGCTGAGATGGTGCCACTGCACTCCAGCCTGGGCGACAGAGGGAGACTCCTTCTCAAAAAAATAAATAAATAAATAAATAAATAAATAAATAAATAAATAAATAAAAGAAAATTGTGTTTTGAATCCTGACTCTTCTGCTTCTTAGTTGTGTGCCTCTGGACAGATTATTTAAACTACTCTGAGTCACAGTTTCTCATTGATAAACTAAGGTCATTAAAATCTGACTTATAATGATGAAGATAAACGGGCACAGATGCTTGGTTCAGTGAGAATGCCATCCCTCTTCTCCTGTCCTCGATCATTATGGCCCCAAGAGGCACAGGCCATGGGCTCCAGGTGGGACCCCAGCCCTGCCAAAGTCCCCTCAGCCTTGCAGGCTGCTGATGAAGCCAGGGACTCTGCTCCCACGTCCCTTATCATCAAGGTAAGGAGAATAAAGCATGGTGTGCACTTGAAGTGTTTTGAACCCCTTGGGGAAAGACTTGATGGGTTTAGTCAATGTAATTTACCCTGCATGGCTTATAATTGCCTCTGAGACCACCATTTTCTCCCAGTTCAAAGAACTGACTCAGCCTAATGCCAATAAGCATGTCAATGTCCCCAGCCCCTGTAGCTTCGGGAAGGGACACTTGTGCTGCCACAGCAGGTCATGAGTAGAGAGCACCTTTTATTTTCTTCACTCACCATGTGAACGAATCGGTTTTGCCTAAGTGTATATATATATATGGCATCAGGGCAATTCAACTCCCCTCGCGAGAGGCAGGTGAGACATTCCTCTCCCTTCTGCCCCATTTCCAACTTTGGAGCCTGCAGGTCTACTCTGGGGTAAGTTCCTGGCATGTGTCTGCTGAGAGTGGATGAGCAAATGCATGTCTACCTGGGGTGGTAGTCATTGCTCTCTGCTTCTATTCGTGTGGGAATGCCCAGCAGAGGGAGGACTCACCACTGGCAACCAGACAGGTGCCTGTTGGGAAGCAAGGAGCCCCAACAGCTGGGGCTTTACTGGGCTCCTTCTGCTCCAGCTCCCAGGACTCGTGTTCTGTGATGCCGTGGTCTTGTCTTCCCGCCAGCCTCCCTAATTAGATGGAGATTGAGAGCTGGGGCTGTATTGCTTGTCTGGGTGTGCCCATCACCTGGCACCCAACACTGCAGTAAATGTTGGTGGACATAATGCCTCAGGGGATTTTGGAGGTTTGTACATTTCATGCTTGGAAACCTTCACAGGATGCTGTCTCGTGAAGTGAAAGGAGGGGAGGAAGGACCTCCACAGAGGGGCCTCTATGTTTAATGGCAAGTTCTTAAACCCCTCTGGGCCTCTGTCTTTTCAGCTGAAATTAGGGAATGACATCTACCCTAGCTGCTCAGATGCGAGCCTGAGTGAGAACCTTGTGTTGTGAAGGAGCCAAGCACCCTGGAAGGGGGCACAGGGCTGCCGTGGATGGGGAGATGTGGGCAGAGTGAGGAGGCGCAGGAGCTGCTGGGACTGTCAGCCAGCTTGTCCAGCAGAGGGTCAGTAGGCGAGTGATGTCTGCTCCTCCTCATAGGCATCCCTTTTTCCTGAGGTGGAGTTAGAGGCGGAGCAGTTACAGATGAAAATGCTCCTAGGAGGGGCAGACAGGCAGGAGGACAAGAGCAGATGTGGGGGGCACCCCTGGGCCATGTGCTCCTAAAGATGAAGCAGGGCTCTATTTAGCACAGTGTACCAACCTTGTGGCTGGGGTCTCCTGTTGATCCTTACAGCAGTGAACTTTATTCTCAATGAAAGGGCGATTTGTTAAATGTACAGTATAACTAAAGGTTATTTTTATGCCTTGGTTAGACTTGGTACATGAATAGATATGCAAATTAAAAATGCCTATCAGAGACTGTGCTCCAGTGCTGGGGAGGAAACACATGGTGTGGGGATAGTCAAAGGCATGCCGGAGTGGGAGGCACCTGGAGAGGGGACACAATGGCCTGGAAGGATAAGGGGAGACTCCAGCTGTGAGCCTGAGAGGAGAGGCAGGCAGGCAGGGGCCGTGCGGGGAATGGTCTGCAGCAGGAGGTGGTGGTGGGAATTGCTAGGATGAATTTCAGGAGCTGGTTGAAGCAAAGGGAAAGCAGTAAACTAATGTGAAATGGATAAGAGATGTGGCCTAAAAATAACCAAGAACCTAAATATTTTGTTAGTAACAATGGCTATTGACCAGGTGCGATGGCTCCTGCCTGTTATCCCAGCAGTTTGGGAGGCCCAGGCAAGAGGATCACTTGAGGCCAGGAGTTCAAGATCAGCCTAGGCAACATAGCAAGACCCTGTCTGTACAATTTTTTTTTTTAATTAGCTGGGCATGGTGGTGCACGCCTGTAGTTCTAGCTACTAGGGAGGCTGTGGCAGGAGGATTGCTTGAGCTCAGGAGTTTGACACTGCAGTGAGCTGTGATCATGCCACTGCACTCCAGCCTGGGTGACAGAGTGAGGCCTTGTCTCTAAAAATTAAATTAAAAAATTAAAAAACAACAACAATGGCTACTGTTTTTCAAGTTTCTGCTACATGCCAAGCCCCATGCATCACTTCCTCAGGCAGTACATAGGAGGCAGACCAGCCTAAAGTTTAAGGGAAAATTATTTAACCTCCATAGCCCTCAGATTTCTCATATTAAAAAGGGGATTAATTATAATATCTACCCCAAGGGGTTGTTTTAAGGATGAAATTAGATAATGCATGTTAAGTACTTGTTACATGACTGGCAGGCAGTAAGCACTCAACAAACGCTAGCTCTAATCATCATTTATAACTCTTAAATGGCTTTATCAGGATGCTGTGATTCAATTAACAGAAATGTGAATTAAGCAGAATTTTTTTAGGGGTGTGTCTAGACCTGCAAACTGAGGCTTACCGGAAATCTCTGGATTTCCACTCACTGAAATCTACTATTTCTCTACACAGATAAGAACAAGTAATAAAAGACGCTCTTCAATGCCTTTCTCATCACAGAAAGATGCTACACAAAGGGAGAGTGTTGTTATTGACAGCATCCCACATAAAATGAGAATTCTGTCGGTGATAAAAATTGAATAGAAAAAAAATCTTGGCTCTATGGAGTTTCTGGTCTAAATGCATGAAGACATAACTCTCAGTTTAACCCATCTCATTTGAAAGATGCATTGGTGAAACACACCACTTGTCGTTTAGGACAAAGGATTGCAAAGGGAACAGGAAATCTAAATATCTCCAGAAGGAACAATTTTTCTTGTTAGACTATGTATGTAGTGTACGGCTAAAAGCCTTTATAATGATAGTGCTGAGGAATGGAGCCTGCACAGGTGTGATAAGTTGTGTACTTTATATTTGACTGTACAATTGCAGTGATTTGTGGGACATGATTTGATCCATGGTGTTTCCAAATCCATCTCATAACGAGTTGAACTTAGCATGGCTTCTGCTCTGTAAGCGTGTCAAAGCTTAGGATAGTGTGGGAACATTGTGTTTAATTTAGTAAGATATATAGAGAGAGGAAAAACTAGGGGTATATCTCTGCAAGAGACTGACAATTAGAATCAGGAGAGAGAACTTGCCTTTCTTCTATTTTGAGAAAAGGTAGAATTAATTCCAGCAGAAAGAGCAGCAATTGAATGAGGGAGGTGGGGCTGATAAAGTGGGGAGAGGATGAGGAAAAGTAGCTATGTGAGGTGGATGTAAAGTAATGAGATAATTTTTAAGCACACATCAAGCTGATATTTGAATTGGTGTTGTCCTTCAAAATTACCTTGAGAGCATTTATCTGTATTCAGAGGACATTGCCACTGCTCAAAACATCTTAGGCATTGCTCTTAGAGATTTTTCCTGTTACTCATTATACTATGGTTGTACAGTTAACATAATTCTGTAATGATGACAGACTATTACATTCCTTCTATCGCTTTACATGTTTGTAAGTGGACAGAAGAAATATCATTCCATGGATCAATGCCTCCCTGTCACCAGGCTTTATGTACCTATGACTTATTCACCGAGCCTTCCCGAGGACTACTGTGTGGTGGGGGCAATCTGACTAGAGCCCTTTTCTCTCAAGTGCACAACTCTAGTTCTCTCTATCACAAGGACCAGGGCACCCAATTAGGATCAAAGTCTTTCTTATGAAGTGATTCCAACAGGAATGTGACCAGAGACAAAGAAAGCACAGGTACCAGGCAAGTCCCTAAAGATAATTCCTTGTCACAGAGTAACAAATGCTGTTTTGGTTCATCTGATGGGACACAGGTGTTGCTCTGATATACAGAACACTTTGCAGTAGTATTTATTATAAAGCAATCATATCTGTTTTGTCGGACACAGGTTGAAGAGAGGAGGAATGTTAGATAGATTCCATCAAGTGAAATTCTCAGTTTATTCAACTGGAATTTGAAAGTATATGCAATTTCCCTCAATACATCATTCTGTCAATGCATATTTATTGGGCATACTACATGTTAAGTATGGTACTAAAGATTCAGGAAGCAGTGATTTATAAGACACACACAATCCCTACCTTGTTAGTTTGTATATTCAGATATAAAAAAGATAATAAAGAGTGATAAATTATTATAGGGATGTTTCAAGAGCCATGAGAATATATTGTGGGTACATATAGAGTATAGGTGTCTGGGGATAATTTTTTTTAAGTGAAGGAAGAGTAGTATTTAGAGAGATGGAAAGTAAAGGCAGAACATTAAGTTCTTCCTTTAACTTTAACATGCCTTTAACATGGCAACTGCAAAAGCCTAGAAGTAAGAATGTAGCATGGTACAACTGAGTGGAAGGAAGGGGAGATTGAGAGAGAAAGAATGGTTTAAGAAGCAGCTGGTGAAACTAGCGCTGGACAGATCACACATGGGCTTAAAAAAGGTCTTATTAGGGAGTTTTAAAGGCATCCCCAAAGCCACAGGAAGCCACAGAAGGATTTCCAAAATAGGAAAATGGTCAGATTTCCAATACCGTTGACTAGAGCCTGGAGTCTCTTAAGTGCTAACCTCTAAGCCCTAATAAAGTTACTTTAAAAATTTTGTAATGTGTGAAGGTTGAGGAACCTGGGAGCAGAGGTGATTTGGGACAGCATAGGGAATAAAATTTCTGCCGCTTTCAAGGTTCAGGGTTGGGGAGCTGTCCACAAAGTAGGTGCTGAATAGCTGAAGCCAGGAGCTGCCTAAGGAAGCTTCATGGGATGTGGGGCAGGTGGCGCCAGGTGTTACCGCCTACCTCAGAGGTGGGAGGAAGAGAGTTGGTTTTTCTTTGTCTTTTATCCATCCTATTTTTCTATTTTCCTTGCTTATGTCTTCCTCTACCTTCTCCTTTCTCCCATTTTCATCTTCTAGCAATCTGGGCAGCTATAGCTGACTCTCCCTGAAGGAAGAGGGAAGAGAATGCTTTTTGCTCCTCCATCAGTGACTTCTCATAAGGAGTCAACAGAGCATTGTGAAAACAAATTCATAAGAAGCCCGCCTTTATCTAAGGGTTGGATGACTGGTTATATTGCTAAATTGGCCATCCCAGACCCTTCTGAGCCATTAGGTGGGGAGATATTGTCATTATTATACTATAGTTATTAGTAGTTGAGCATTTAGTGTGGATCAGGCAGTTAAACAAGCACTTTACTTCTCCAAACCTAAGAGGAGACTGTGTTGTCTGTTTTATAGAACATGGCTTGACTTGGAAGATCAGTGGTTGTGATTTGTGCTATTTGTTTAATAAATTATTACTGAGGCCAAATAACTGAAAGATGCAGAAAATAAAATCTATTAATACTCTGTGTAGACTCTTTCAATAGTCATTTCATTTAGTCTCATAACAATCTTGTGAAATTATACTGTTATTATTCTCATTTTACTGATGAGGACACTGAGGCTCAGAGAGCTTAAGTAATTGGCTGAGGTCACACAACTAGTAAGTGACCATGGCAGTTTTCAAACTTGGCACTATTTGATTCCAAAGCCTCTGCCCTTTCATCTAGAGTGCTTCTTTGGTTTCTTTGGGGCCAGTCACATCTACAGTCTAGTTTGATTTTAGCGAATGAAAACTGCTGCACTTCATTTTCCTTCAGTACCATTTGCCTCTGGATCTTGATGCTTCCCATATCATCTGTACCTCTGGGAGGGCAGCTTCCAACCTCAGAGCATGTCAGTGGTATGCAGGCTCCCAGCGAATGGAAGCACTCTTGTTTTCTGTAATTGTACACTTATTAGGTCACAAGGCATCATCAAACCAAGCTGTCTTTTGTCGGAATCCCCACTGGACAGTTTGGTCTCAGTATCAATACTGGAAATGTTAGTCTGGTAAACAGCCTTTAACAGGGAAGAAGGAGGCTGAGAACGAAGTCTCCTTCAAATGAAACTCTAGAGGATGAGAGTGAACCGAGTCAACATCTTACTTTAAATCCCCTGGAGTAGCTATGAAAGAGAGAAGACTTGCTGGATTGAGGAGAAAAAAAACACTTTGATTCATCTGAATTAATTTCACCTCTCCCAGGAGGGAGGATTCTTTCACCACCCTCCTGTTCTCCACCAACTGCATGCAGCTCCACAATCCCCAAAGACAAAAGACTAAACTATAGTGGGCAGAGCTCACACTTCCTCCTTTCTCCACTTAAATCCATTTGTCCTGGGGTCACTGATCCTTGGAATGTCCTTGGGCTTTGATCGTTAACCCACACACATCTGAAGGAGTGGGTAGCTAGTGCTCAGAGTGAGGACAATGCCTTTGTCCTTTGACAGCACTGATGCAGTTATGAGCTCTTGGACATAGCAGACTGTGGGGTTTGGGCGAAAAATGTGAAACCAGCTTTACACTTATAAAGCTGCATGCCAACTAGCATCACCCTCCACCTTGCCTTGAGCCCTCTGTCCTCATTTTTTGAAGGTGGATCCACCAGGATGGTAATTTGATTGTGTTTTAGGAGTCTCAGGCAGAGGCTGCTGTGGGTTGTAAGGGTTGACTTTTAGCCCATAAAAGATGGCTGTCCCCCATCCAGATCCATTTATCTGTCCCCTTTATAGAAATGGCCCCTCGCCCCTCTTTTGTCTGGAACAGATCAGCACCCACCATGAGGGTTCAGGATGATACGGCAGGGTCACATGAGTGCTGCCATGCAGGGCCATCTTTATTCAAGTACGGCTTGCTCCAGGCTGACTGCAGGTGGCAGAATAGTGCCATCCTGGGAGACAAGTGGCAGTGAACACTCCATGGTTCCTGCTCCATTGCAGAGCCACGTGGAGTTAATGATTTTCTAGTTCAAACCTCTCAGCTTAAAGGTGAGGAAACTGAGGCCCAAAGAAGTCAAGGATGTTGCTCAAAGTCACAGAGGCCATTAGTGATAGAGCCCAAATAGGAACTAAGACCACAAGTAGAAGCATTCCTCTGTTTACTGAAGAATTTGCCATCCTCTTTATCAACCTGCCTCAGGACCTGACTCAACAGAGAACACTGGACTCGGAGTCGGGCCTGGGCACCAGTCCCAATTCCGATTCCAACTTGCTGGCACTTCACCGTTTTGATTCTGTTTCTCCCCTTATAACAGGACAGGAGTGGTAAATGATGATAAGGCCTGTCCTACCTACCTTGCAGGTTTTCTTGTTAATAAGGATAAAATAAAAGTGGGGAAAGTAAGGCAAAGTCTATCATATAAGAGAACATGCTATATACATGTAAAACCAAACTGTTATTTGGGGGAAATGTGAGTTGTTCAATTTTATTTTTCCTCCAGACACTGGGGGTAGCCAACCAGGCCATACCAGTGGTCCCGAGACAAGTGTTCAGTAGCCTCTTCATCCCTTGGAGAAGCTTGTAAACTGCAGAAAGTGTGTAACCTGCAGAGTGTGTGTGTGTGTGTGTGCACGTGCGTGCACGCGCACATATCGGTGTGTGGGCACATCTGCATGTGTGTCTTGGGTAAAAGGCACGGGGAAAGGGAAGGCATGATTTCTTTTTCATTTTAGCTGATAGAGGAGAAGGGTATTGGGGGAGATGCATAGAGCCTACCTGTCAGACACATCGAGGAGAGGCAACACCATCCACTGCCACAGGCTCAAGCCTTCATAGGCGGCGACATGCCAGACCATCCTGCCTTGCTCCTTCCCGGTTTTGTTCTCCACTAGCACCAAGGACACGTTTCCCCTCAAGACTCCACGAATGAGCCAGGACATTCGGAGCTGTGAGGGCGAGAAGAGTCAGAGGACAAGGTATGATTGCTGAAAGGTCCCCTTTCTGGAATTCTCCACTGAAGTTTCAAGGACCTTATAAGAGACTCAGCTGAGTTCAGCCTGGTGAGAAGAGCTGGATGCCCACCACCTGTCTCACCAAGAGGCTTTCAGTGAAGTTCAAGTATCCCATTTCCTAGGATAACTGAACGAATCTGTTAATTTTTTTTCTTGGGCAGGGACAACTGATGGGCAGTTTTGGAACTTTGTTCAGGTTGATGTTATCATCCTACCTTTCACAAGATTCTGCCTGTAAGGTGATATCAAGATCAATGGGGTAGTAAATGAACTTCCTAAAGAGTAGCCAAAGATTCTTGCCTGTGGCCCCAATTTACTTTGTGACCTTGGACAAATGATTTTGTGACTCAGTTTCTTTTAGTGATTTAGGTATCATAGATTTTTCTCTCTTCCCCAAAGACTCTAATAATCTCATTTGAATGGTGTCATGTCACATGTCAGCTAACTAAAGACCCAATGACTTGACACCTGTGGCCACTGGCAGGCAAAGGCCAGACAAAAATCTACATATCAAGATCTTTTAATATGGGCATCTTTCGAAGAGGATGCCCACTTCGCCAAAAGGAAGTTACAACTGTGTTTTTCATTGTGTCTTTATTAAAAGTTTCTGTGGCATTGTTCCTAAACATTTGAAAGAAAATTGTAACTAATAACCTTTGTAAGAAAGTTTAAGTACGATCATATTCAGAGGTAGGACATACTATAAACAAGGTTTCTGGTCTTTGTGTTTAAAAACCTAGGACAACTATATCATATCATTGCCTAAAATAATCCTGTAAGAAAAAATGGTGGTTATTGTAGAAAGAAAGGTAAAATATGTCTTATGGTAAACTGGCAGTTTCGTCAGAGTAAAGGTACCCCCTTTTTACTGATTCTCTCTGAATACCTGCTTCTTTGTAAATTACCACTCCTTTGTCTTCCAGTCCTTGATACATGGTTGCCTCACAATTTGATTGAAGAGGTTAAGAACCATGACTCACGGCAGCCCCAAACTTCCCACTTTCTTGCATACAAACCCTTCACTAATAAGGTCACACCAGGGCATTGGGGCCCCCAGGGACTGATTTACTTCTGAGTCCCTGGACCTTGTAAGCCTGGTCTATAACCACAGACACTTCACTTACACCTTTCCCATTTCTCCATATCCTGGGTAGCAAATATGCATCTCTACTGAGACCTCCTAGGATAAATGAATGAATCTGTTAATTTTTTTTTCTGGCCTCACTTAGCTTTCTTGTACAAGCCATGATTGGAAATTTCAACTCTACCCCTGCTAACTGTAAACCCTTTCAGCTCTCAGCCCATGCCATGCAGTGCCTAGCTTGGGATCACGATGCTTTCTCCTTTTGCTCCTTGGCTGAAGAATACTGCTAATTTGAACTTCCATGAATTCAGACTGTTGAGTCTCAATGCCCTGGATGTGAGGTGGTACTTGTTCATTCTCTCTTGATTTCCACAGTTGATTTCCAGACACACATAGTACAATGGGTGTTTCAAACTCTCCCTCGCATACTGACACTCTCACCCCCTGGTTCCCACCTCCTAATCCACTGATTTGATTTCTACTTTACTGAGAAGATCTACTATGTCAGGAACAATCTCCTTCAGTCCCCTTCTCTCTTTTTTGTGGGCCCAGTGTTTATTTATCCTCCTTTCTTTTCCTTTTCTCTCTTAGAGGAAGCTGCATCCTTCACTGTCTTCCACGTTAGCCCAGCTCATTTTCTCTCCCCCAGTCCTTGCTCTTTTAGTTACTGCCCTCCTTTCCCTCCTTTCCCCAGCATCTCAGAGTCAATCTTTTGGCTCCTTTGTCTACAAATAAGATCAAGGTTCACCCATTCTGGAGAAATATCCTTTATTTCATCCTCTGGGCTCCTCTGGCTTGTAACCATTTCTTTGCCCCATTCAGATGCTCACATCTTGAACAGCTGGGATGTAACTGCTGCCGCTAGTTACTTGTTGCTCATTCTCTCTTTAAGTTCTTTCAACCTGGTTTCTAGATAATCTCCTCATTACTCTAGCAAAATAGAGTACCCATGTCCTTTATAACTCTTTGAACTCTTCAGAGTCTCCTAAAGTGCCTCTCCCTCTCCACTCTTTCTCTCTTCCGAATTCTCTTGTATATTTCTATCACATTCTCCTGTTGATCATGCTCATCTGTGACTTGGGCTCAACAACTGTCGATGGTTTCTCATGCCCTGTCAAAAATTATGGCATTTACATTCCTCTATTATCTGAGGAAATCAACTTTTTCATCATTCAACAAATATTTGTTAAGCACTTATGCTGGGTCACATGAATTCTCCATTTCAGAATGGTCTAAGACCTCTAGAATCAGAGAGTTCTGAATTCAAAACCTGTTTTTACCACTTTGGCCTAGTTATTTAATCATTTTGAAGCTCAGTTTCCTATTCTCTAAGATGAGAATAGTTTTATCTCTTATAGGGTTATAGGGACTGTTAACTGAAATAATAATTGATGTAACAAAATATTAAAAAGGCATTTTGGCTGAAGCATGGAGGCAGTGGGTGCTGCATTTCAAAGGGAAGTGTAAGAGCACAAGGTTGCAGAACTTTCAAGAGAGGTGGATAAAAATGAATGACATAATTCTTAACCCTTCACTCATACTTTGCATATTACAAAATGCTGGAGGTTGACTATTAGGAGAGAGTTTTTGGAAGGTGCTTTTGGCATACCACGAGTTCCATTTCACTCTCCTGCTAAGAAGAAGGTGGGAAGGGTGTTCCATCTTCATCTCAAGTCAAGAGAGAATGGTTTTATGATACCATATCAAGGACTTGATACTTACCCCTGCAGTTTTGGAAACACGGTGGATTAGTGTCTGTCTCCTACCTGGAAGGTCTAAAGTTTGAACTAGGGGCTGGCTAGCTGCTCTGATGGCAGAACAAGGCAAGGTGGCAGCATCGGGTGGCCTACACTCCCAGAGTTTGCTGGGGCAGAAATGCATGAGTGTTGCATATGGGTGGGAGGAGAACCATGTATAGGGGAGCCCATGCAGGGTCACTGTAGATCTTGCCTAAGAGGGAGGTAAATAGACAATAGTAGGAAGAAGCTGCCGGTATCTTGAGATGCCCAAGAGTGGAGGAAGGTGGAAGTGACCACCTATAATAGAGATGCACATACCTGGCCGGGCACGGTGGCTCACACCTGTAATCCCACCACTCTGGGAGGCCGAGTCAGGTGGATCACTTGAGGTCAGAAGTTTGAGACCAGCCTGGCAAACATGGTGAAACCCCGACTCTACTAAAAATACAAAAATTAGCCAGGTGTGGTGGCAGGTACCTGTAGTCCCAGCTACTCAGGAGGCTGAGGCTGAGGCAGGAGAATCCCTTGAACCTGGGAGGCAGAGGTTGCAGTGAGCCGAGATTGTGCCATTGCACTCTAGCCTGGGTGACAGAGCAAGACTCTGTCTCAAAAAAAAAAAAAAAAAAAATGCATGTGCCCTAAGTCAAGGCGAAAAATTCTAAGCCATGGTGGAGGGGATGAGGAGAAAGGTGGATCTACAAAGGAACCCCAAAAGCCCCTGTGTGAGAAACAGTAAGCCTTGGACATTTGTTACATCCAGAGAACACCAATGCAAGATTACCCAACAGTCTCCAATAAGAACTTTCTTGCTCCCCTGAAATCCTTTCTGTGTCTATGCTTACAACCCCAACAAGTCAGAAGTCAACAAGATGACAGAAGAGGAGGAGAGGTTGGGTGGAGAACTAGAGAGGCCACTGACCACACCCTTTCTCTCATTTCAGGCTTTCCATCTGCAATAGGACCAAGTTTGGAGGCGGCAGGAGAGGGCAAGAAGTGATGACTTTAAAGCAAGATTGAAATTGTGACTGGATGAGCATGCTGATTACTAAAAAGCCTGTGTTTTGCATTTTTAAGTGACTGAAGAACTGTCTGCATTACCTTCCAGTGACCAGAGAAGTAGTCTGTCAGTTTTCACCTAGCAATCCACACAAGGAAGCTGAATGAATGCGGGTTCCAGACTCCCCTACACCAGTCTACTTGCCAGATTTGCACCTGACTTGCATTTCTCTGCTTCTATACTTTTTATTCTTTTGTTTTCTCTACCTGCTTTTTCCTTCTGTCTTCTTAAAAAATGAGATCTCTTTCCTTTTCAGGAGGCCTTTTTCTTTTCATCCATCTCAGAAACCACTTCCTCCTCCTCTTAAATCTTCTAAGGTTATTGGGACCTGCTGCCTTGTCTTCTCTCTCTACCCTTGGTCATGAATTCCTTCAAGGCAGGGACTGTCTTATTCATCTTATGTTCACAGTGGCTGTCAAGCAAGGGCACGTTGTAGGAACCAATCAATGTCAGCATGAATAAAATTGCATATCTATATAGGGAGACACTCTCATCTTTGCCAGGCTTTCCTCTTAGAGGTAGTCAATCAACTTTCCATCCTAGGAAGCTCCTTGGCACTTTCTTACATTCTATGGGTCAGGGACCAGGGAAGGGGAGAAGTTCCTCACTTTCCAGCCACTTGGCTATATTCTAAACTGCCCCCTCCTCAGCTGCTCCCTGGAACTTTACAGTTTAAAGTAGAGTCTGCTGATGGTATGAGCATGTCAGCAAGATGCAGCCCTGTCTTGTCTATTCTGGGACCAGGGGCCAGCCAGCAGCTGAGCTCTCTCCATCTTCCTGTTCTGTGTTTTAGGCCAATCAGGCCGGGCAAAAGAGAGAGAACTGGACTGGCCACCCAGGGATGGTGTGAAGGCTATGGCATCCTTAGCCTTCTGAGGCAATCCACCAGGATCCTTCCTGGGATTAGTCCTTAAGGGAGATCATCATCTACTCACTCGCAGATAGTTACTGCACTCCTACTCTTTGCTGCATACTCTGTTCTTGAAGATGAGCTCCTGCCCTCATGGAGCTTATCATCCAGCCAGGAAGATAGAATTTAAATGAATGATTACAAATGTTCTGATTGTAGCAAAAGGTGAAGTAATTGGAGCCACTTGACAGTCAGGACATATGACACAAGATAATCGAGGCAAGACACATGACATCACACAGTAAAGACTTAGGTCCAGACAGCCACTGGACCCAACTGTTCAGAGCTAGGAACAAATAGGAGAATTAAATAATTAACTTCCGGCCGGGTGCGGTGGCTCACGCCTGTAATCCCAGCACTTTGGGAGGCCGAGGCAGGTGGATCACCTGAGGTCAGGAGTTCGAGATCAGCCTGGCCAATATGGTGAAACCCTGCCTCTACTGAAAATACAAAAATTAGCTGGGTGTGGTGGCAGGCACCTGTAATCCCAGCTACTTGGGAGGCTGAGGCAGGAGAATTGCTTCAACCCGGGAGGCGGAGGTTGCAGTGAGCCGAGATTGCATCATTGCACTCCAGCCTGGGGGACAAGAGCAAGACTTCGTCTCAAAGAGAAAAAAAAAGAATTAACCTTCTTTCATCTTATAATGATACCTCCTATGTTTATAGCAGAAGACACTCAACTACAGCCACAACTCAAGCCAAGGCATGCACTCTCTGAGTTTCAACAATGTCTCATTCTAGAAATAGATGCAAAAGGCCTGGAATAAGATTGCAAACTGGCAGTCAGTGAATGGCTAGCAAATGTGTATTTTTTGGCCATTTTTTTTCATCCACTGAGTGTTCAGTAAGGGAGTATATCCAGGCAGATGTTCTTCCTCAGGATATAAGCAGTCCACTGGCTAGCCATAGGCAGAAGAATGAAACTGGATCCCACCTCTCGCCATATACAAAAATTAATTCAAGATGTATTAAAGACTGAAATGTAAGACATCAAACTATAAAAATCCTAGAAGAAAACCTAGGAATAACTCTTTTGGACATTGGCCTAGGCAAAGAATTTATGACTAAGACCATAAAAGCAAATGCAACAAAAACAAAAATTGACAATGGGGACCTAACTAAAGAGCTTCTGCACAACAAAAGAAACTATAAACAGAGTTTATAACAGCCTACAGAATGGGAGAAAATATTTGCAAACTATGCATCCAAGAAGGGATTAATATCCAGAACCTATAAGGAACTTAAACAAATCAAGAAAAAACCAAATAACTTCATTAAAAATAACACCTTTGCCCTTTGTCTGGGCAAAGGACATTAATAGACACTTCTCAAAAGAAGACATACAACCAGCCAATACACATATGAAAAACTGCTCAACAACGCTAACCACCAGAGAAATGCAAATCAAAACCAATGAGATACCATCTCACACCAGTCAGAATGGCTATTATTAAAAGGTAAAAAAAGAAAAGATCTTGGTGAAGATACATAGAAAAGAGAATGCTTACACACTGTTGGTTGGAATGTAAATTAGTTCAGTTGCTGTGGAAAACAGTATGGAGATTTCTCAAAGAACTAAAAACAGAACTACCATTCAACTCAGAAATCTCACCACTGGGTGTCCACCCAAAGGAAAATAAATCATTTTACCATAAAGACACCTGCAGTCACATGTTTACCGCAGCACGATTCACAATAGCAAAGTCATAGAATCAACCTACGTGTCCCTCAATGGTGCATCGGATAAAGAAAATGTGGTACATATATACCATGGAATACTACAGAGCCATAAAAAAGAAAGAAGTCATGTCCTTTGCAGCAACGTGGATGCAGCTGGAGGCCATTATCTTAAGTGAGTTAATGTAGAAACAGAAAATCAAATACCGTATGTGCTCACTTATGAGTGGGGGCTAAACAATGAGTCCACATGGACTTAAAGAAGAAAACAATAGATACTGGGGACTCTAAAAGGTGGGAGAGTAGGGGGAAAAGGACGAAAAACTACCTACTGGGTAGTAAACTCACTATTTGGGTGATGGGTGCAATAGATGCCCAAACCCCAGCATTATGCTATTGCATAACGTAACAAACCTGCATGTTTATCCCCTGAATCTAGGAAAAAAAAGATACAAGCAGTCCAGAGCCTATGTCTGTCCCTTGGCCTACTTCTCACCTGTAGTTATAATCGTAGTTTCTTCCACATTGTGCCTCTAAGAGCCAGTCAGTGGTTTCCTGCTTAGAGTGTGGTCCTCAGACTGGTAGCATCAGTGTTACCTGGGACCTTGTTAGAAATGCAGAATCTGGCTGGGCGCGGTGGCTTGTGCCTGTAATCCCAGCACTTTGGGAGGCTGAGGTGGGCAGATCACAAGGTCAGGAGTTCTAGACCAGCCTGGTCAATATGGTGAAACCCTGTCTCTACTAAAAGTACAAAAATTAGCCAGGTGTGGTGGCAGGTGCCTGTAGTCCCAGCTACTCAGGAGGCTGAGGCAGGAAATCACTTGAACCTGGGAGGCGG
This sequence comes from Homo sapiens, assembly GCF_000001405.40. Taxonomy (NCBI): domain Eukaryota; kingdom Metazoa; phylum Chordata; class Mammalia; order Primates; family Hominidae; genus Homo; species Homo sapiens. The sequence goes on from NC_000002.12 coordinate 29,304,429, forward strand.
AGGTTGTAGTGAGCTGAGATGGTGCCACTGCACTCCAGCCTGGGCAATAGAGCAAGACTGTGTCTAAAAAAAAAAAAAAAAAAGAAAAGAAAAAAGAAATGCAGAATCTCTGGCCTGATGCCAAATCCCTGTCCCTGTGCTCCTGTGACTCATCCCATGACCTTTCCAGAATGCACTGGAACCACCTGCCCTTTGCATCAACATTCATTCTTCAGTGGCTTGTCAAACCATCCTCTTTTCTTGTCTGCTGACTATGGCATAATTTGGAGTCTGTGCTTCAAGGCCAATGTGTATTAACTGTGTGACCTTAAGCCAACCACTTACCTCCTCTGAACCTGTATTTTGTTATAGACAAACTTGTGATAATAACCACCACCCCTTCCCTGCCTGCCTCAAAAGGGGATTATGAAGTATGAGATGAAGAATGTGGAAGTAGAGCTCCTGTGATATTGTGAATGACATGGTGAAACCAGTGGTTTTCAACCTGGGGTGCAAATTAGAATCAGCTTTCCAGACGACTAATGTCTGGGCACCACTCCAGAGACTCTGATTTAAGTAGATGTGGGTAGGTCCTGGGCATCGGCAGATTTTAAAATTTCTCCACGTGTTTCTAAAGTGCAGCCTGGGTAGAGACCTCTGGGGAGCTGGGTTACTTAGTGCAGGAAGTGCCTGACCCTCTCAGTGAGGGGTCCATTTTCATCTTGGACTTTGAGTAAGAGGCAATTCTTAATAACTTACAAATGGCTTAAAATGTGCCCACCATCACCAAGGTGTAGAGGGGGCGATTTTCCTGCAGCGGGGAGTCTGCTGCCGTCAGCTAAGGGCCTTCTTGGGGCTGTTACATCGCCTCTAGAAAAAGACTGAGAATAACCGAGAGAGAGAAAAAGAGAGAGAGACCCCGTGAGCAGTAATGACCCGAGGATGTATACGGGGCTAGAACTACCCTCTTGGACCTGCAGATAAGGTTTTTACCAATTTCTTAATTAGAAGACCTGGAGGCCTGGTATCAGTTCTTACTGAGTATTCCTTGTTGATCACATGTGTCTAACATTAGACAGCACTCACTGTATGTGGTTCCTAGAGCAGACTGCAGGCTCAAGTCCCTCTCAAAGACCTTCATTTCCCTTACACAGTCCTTGGTTAGAGGTCCCTTGATATCATTTTATGTAAATACCCATGCCAAGTATACCCAGCTTGATCTTGGCAGTCAAGGTTCTGGTCCAAAAACACCCTTAGAATTCCATCTTAAGACCTATTTCTATCTGGGTGGCCTACAGCAGAGGTCCTCAACCTTTCTGACACCAGAGACCAGTTTCGTGGAAGACAACTTTTCCACAGACCAGGGGCTGGGGGTTGGGGGGTAGTTTCAGGATGATTCAAGCACATTACATATATCGTGCACTTTATTTCTATTATTATTACATTGTAATAAATAATGGAATAATTATACAACTCACCATAATGTCAGATCAGTGCAATAGGGCTCGCACTTCTATGAGAATCTAGTGCCACTGCTGATCTGACAGGAGGCAGAGCTCTGGCAGTAACGCGAGGGATGGCGAGTGGGTGTAAATACAGATGAAGTTTTGCTCACTTGCCTGCCACTCACCTCCTGCTGTGTGGCCTGGTTCCTAATAGGCCACAGAGCAGTACTGGTCGGTGGCCTGGGGGTTGGGGACCCCTGGCCTACTGGATATGAAGTCATTTGTTAATTGACTCTTTACTGAATGCCAGGAAGCTGAACTAGGCGCTTGCACGTAGGCTTATCTCACTGTATACTGACAACATCCCTTTGTGTAGATATTATTCCACCCATTTTTCAGATGCAGAATTGAAGGCTTAGAGACGTTAAGTCAGTCACCCCTGGGCACTAAGCCCACAGGCTGCAGACCTGGAGTCCACACTATGCTCTGTGTTCTTTCTACCATACATGGAGTGCAATGCCCATGTAATATATTATGGTACTCCTTAAAGCTTTGGGGGCATATTGCAAAGATTTTCCAGATCTTTGTTGCTCAGTGTGTGGTCTTTGGATCAGCAATGTGGGCGCTACCTGGGAGCTTATTAGAAATTCAGGGTCTCAGGGCCTGCCCCAGCTCTTCTGAATCAGAATTTATATTTTAACAAGATCTTATCCTAGAAATACTTTCGTGCTGGAGAAATTAGGGAGCTAGTGAATTTTAATGCATTTACAACCATTGTCCTTACCAGACAATTAACAGTCGTGTGTGTGTGTGTGTGTTTGTGTGTGTATTCACACAAATATGCGAAATCTGACACAAATTCTAAATTATATTTATGGGAAATAACGCTTGCTGATGCCAGTAACAATAAAATTTTTGATCCTTCTAGACACATCCTAGTAGATATAGGTTATAAATGGCAGTGTTTGACTAATAAACTCTTTTATATGCAGACAGCAAATGAGACAAGTGAGTAGAGACAACACCAGGAGTACGCCACCAGCAATTATATCTTCTGGTTCCAGCCAGCGCTTTCACAAGGGCCATTTTTTCCTGCCTCTCGGAAGGGACTGATAGACTTTCCAATTATGTGGTACCAGTGTTTGTCATTTTATTAATTAAAGTCCTGTATGTAAAGCCGGAACGGCATTGTGGCTAGGCCTAATGCTATTATTTCTCTCATGGCCCATTCCTCCTCCAGAGGTAATTATTGCAATTTTATGTCTTGAATATGCCCCATGTTTGCTATGCATACCTCGTGGCAGCTTCAGGACAATCCCTTCAACCCACAGAAAATACTGTGTGTTCAAAAGCCTGCAGTGATCAAAAGAGACTCAGTGACATCAAATAATATCTATTCTGCATGCAACACCCCTAAATGTAGGAAATGTTCTGACGGGGCAGGTGCTATCTTTCTTCAAATTTCTGAAGACCTGCATGAATTCCAATAGTAGAGACAAAACCAAGGCTAGATGCTGTAGTGTGTATTTCACTTCAAGAGAAGGAAACACATTTTTAACAGAGATGCTCAAAGATGAGCTTGCATGGTGGGGGTACTCCCTGGGTATTCCCCATCCAGTCTCTGTTGAATGACTGGGATTGGAATTGTCATCAGGAACATCTCTGTATGGGGGTTAAGGCTCTCCCTCAATATAGGGTGCCAGAGGGTTGTAATTCTCAGTGTGAACCGGTAATTTTGACTTCCCTGGTTTCAGTGTGGTATCTTCTTAACTTCAGCTGAGAATACTGACTCACTGCAAAATCCAGTGTTTTTGTTCACCATCTTCTAGTTCACCTGGAAAAATGAAACACCAACTCTCTAGCTATAAATAGCCTAATGACAAATCAACCCAGCACAGCAAGAAGCTGGCCAGATGCAGATTTTTGATAACAAGGAAATAAAACACGTTTCTGGCAAATGCTTGCAATTATGGAGGCTTAAGAAATGCTGGATTCCTGGTCTTGCAGGATACTTAAAAGATCAGGATCCTTCCTGAAAATACCACTTAATGTTTCTTTTCTGAGGGATTATGTAGAAGCCAGGGAACACCAGTGGACATTCATATGCCCTCTTTCTAAAAACATGAAGGCCACATACAAAAATAATCACCTTGAGATCTCTGGCTGGTGAGGTTATAAAGTTACAAGTTTTTTTTTTTTCTTCTGTGGTCTTTTCTTTCTTTTCCAATTTTTTTTTTTACAATGAATATCTGACTTTTGATAACTAGAACAAAAACAATGAAATTAATTTAGAGTGTGCAGCTGTTAAAAGCATGTTTATGAAGACTAATATTGATATGGGAAAATGTAATGTTAAATAAGAAATAAGACACAGGATGTTTATATTTATATAAACCCTTTCTCTATAGCAAAGCTCAAATCTAAATCTATCTGTCTGGAAGGAAATGTACCAATATCTTTGGGGGGTAAGATTTTGGGCAATTTCAATTTTCTTCTTCATACTTTCCTGCATTTTTCCTAATGTTCTACAATGAACATAAAGTTCTTTTATAATCAGAGAAAGCAATAAATGCTATATTAAAAAGGTGGTGAGAGAGGATTCTGATGTTGGAAAACAGTAAAAGCTAGTACTATGTTTTTACCCACTTCAGGGAGAATCAAGTTATTGTGCCTGTACTCTAGGCTTTGTGAGGGAGATCAAGGGAAGGTGGGAGCTTCTGTGGAATGCGGTGGGACCGTGCTGTGAACGGAACGCAAGCTTTCGTATCAGAAAGAATGGTCTATTTTTTACGTATCACGTAATATCTCAGAGCTTCAGCATCTTCTTCCGTCAAGTGGGGTCAACAGTACCCTGCTTAGATATTTATTATGGGGCTTTAATAAGATTATATGAGACCAGTGCCCAGCTTAGCGAAGACATTTGATAAATGTTAGTTCCTTTCTCCTGCATGGAAAAGAGCAGGCAGGGGACACTTTGTTAGAGATAAACAGTTCACAAAAAACAGACTACGACAGGGTGAAAATGCTGTGTTAAAGTTTCTGTCTGGTTTTTTTTTTTGTTGCTGTTTTTTAATCTTCTGGGTTCCCTAGAGAATTATCTTTCCAGGCTTATGGGAAGAAAAAGATGGTATTTTCTTCAGTCACACTGTCATGGTGTGATCCTGGGCAAACGGCCTCCTCTGTGTCTCAGTTTCTCTGTGTATGATGGAGATGACACTGAGGAGTAGCTTTGTAATCTGACTGCTGGGGAACAGGATGATTCTAGGCAATGAAACTCCCACAGCCTTCACGGACACCACTGGAAAAAGTAGATGTGGGGCACAGGAGCATCTGCAGGGGGCCCAGAGCCCTCTGGGGAGTATTTTTCCCTGATAGCTGGAGGGAGTGTGTGCTCTCAATGGGGTGTTCCCCCATATATGGGTGACATGAATGTGTTGCAATGACCACTAGTGGGAGCCAGAGAGGTCTGTGATTAACATACAGCTTTTGAATGGGAACCAAGTCTGTGCCAAGTGCCAAGGAAGATCCTATTCACACCCAGGGGCTGAGACAGTGATTCTTCCTAGACCTCAGCTTCATCATGCAATGGGAGAGGTATTAGTTGTGAATGGCTCAAAGGTATTACATTAATTATGTCTGACTGCAGTTACAATTGCTGTTGATTACTGCAGGCATTAGCAAGTGCTCTGGCAGAGTCGACCACTTAACAGGCAGTGGTGATAGAATGCTGGGCTCCAGTGGCTTCCTAGCTCTAGGTGCTGGGGTAAGAATGACTTTGGCTCAGAAAGCTCAGGAAGGTGTCATTTGTTGGGTCCTCGAGACTCATTGAGGAGTCTTCTTGTTCACTCTCATCCTGGAAGAGGGTTATGCTTGCAACCGTGGGGGGTGGGGGTGGGGCTGCACAATTAATTAGTTAATTATCAACGAAGTGGGTTTATTGGGCATGTCCTGCTGGTGCTAATGTGGACACTGTGTGAAATAACGCTCCCGACCTGCCCACGTGTTGCTGATTGACTGAGAGGAGAAATCAGAACACAAGCAGTGGCTGAATTTATGCAGCAGCAACTTCCTCATGCCTGAGTAACGTAAGATGAGGGATCATAATAATAATAATTGCTGCCATTCATCAAGCTTTGCAGAGAAGACAAAGGCTTTTCACATTTTCCTCTGATCCTGGTAACAACCTCATGCAGCAACTAAAACAGGTTTTTTGTTGTTGTTGTTTTCTCAAATTAAAGGAAGTCACTTGCTTGAGGTCATATGGCTCCTCAGTGGGGCAGAGCTGGGATCTAAACTCAGGCCATCTAAATCAAATCGAGTATTTATAGATTTGGTTGGGGAGTTGGGCAGACCTGGTTTGAATCATGACTCTGCCTCTAGCAGGGTGACTTTGGGCAGTCACTTAAACTCTTTAAGCTCCAGTTTCTGTATCAATAAATGGGGGTAATAATTTTTTATAACGAGATAATGTAGGTGAAATGCTTAGCATAGTGCCAGCCTTATACTAGGGAATCAATATTTGAAAACTACATCCTTAGTTGGCTTTATCGATACTAAGGGTCCCTTCCTCCAGCACTGGACTAAGTGAAGGCTTCTTTCTACTAGGGTGCAAAGAGCTAGGGTGTTCGAAGGCCCTCATTAAGAATAATGGCTTGCTTTTCAGCATAATACAGCCAAGTGATTTGTAAGTGACCTGAAGACCAGAAGTTTTCACACTGAATGTAAGTGTTCTTAACTTTTCTGTAGAATAAACACCCCAAAGAGATCCCAGATTCCTGTGGGCTATCTCCCCGCATGGCTGGCCACACGGCAGGTTTGAAATCAATACTTGCTGGTTCACCACCTAACTGTGGACCCTCAGTGTCCCTCCCTCGCTCATCCCTCTTGCTCGGGGTCCGTGTGTGCATCCAGCCAGTCAAGTGCCTTGTTGCCATGGCTCAGGGGCTCATCAGAACAGGGAAGATTTTATCCACTCACAGGGTAGCCGTGGGAGGTGGAGAGACTCTGTAAGCTTTGACACACAGGGGATTCTCATTACAGTGATGTTATTACAGGTGTCTGGACGGTTGTCATTAGAGACTGGAAGTGGGGCCCAAATCTCTTACTCATGTAGAGAGCCTTTGGAAAAAGCCATTTGGAAAATGCCTCGAGAACCACTGCAGCTTCCTCCTTTGTATTAGAGGCCCTTGCCCTCTAACACAAAGTTGCGGATGCCTAGACCCCAGCTAAAGGCTTTCTGAGGTTACTGTCTCCATCACCAGCAGTGTTAGCAGCTGCCAGGGCTCAGCCCTCCTGAGGTTTCAGCACCAGGGTGAGGGTGACTCATGGGGTAGATGAGGGGCAACCATAGTTGAAGCTGACTTCAGGGCCAACCAAGGCAGAGCAGGTGCTCTTCAAAATGCACCATCTATGAGCCTAATTGTGACCTAGGGGATGGAGTGAGATCCTAAAGGTGGGGAGGCCTTGGGGCTTCCGAAAACGGCAGTGAGGGTGGGAGCTCTTCCTCTGGGTTTCTTAGAGTAGGGGCACATATGCTGCTCAGCTCTTCCTAGGGGTACCCAAAGCCACAGGGCAAACAGGGTGTAGCTTCCTGGAGTGTTAGCCACTCAATAGTAAATAATGAGGCATGTTTTTGTGTCCAAACAAATAGGTATGTTAAGGAATAAAATACAGAATTGACATTTAAGTTAAAAAAAGGGGTTTGTAAAAGAAAAGTCAGGCTTATGACGTTCTGCTCTGGGCCGTGTCACCAGACTTCCTCCCTGCCTTGAGTGACCTCGTTGACGGCAGCTGTCCCACTCCCAGGAGCTCCCCTGGGGAAAGTGGAGATGCTCTTGCATCTGGAGGACACTGTGGGCCTTGCTGGCCAGCTGTGTGTGGTCTAGGTTCCTCTCCTGAGCCTTCTCTCATTTATAAAAAGGTGACAATATCATCTTCTCTGGGGGATGGGGGCGATGTGGGGGAAGGCCCCTCTGTAAACATGTTGGGACTATATCAAGGTATGGGGTTATTGTTCTGTGTAGGTGTCTGCTGATGGGGCAGTGGAGCAAAGGGACTTTTGGCAGATTGGAGGAGGGAGCTCCCATGCCCATGCTGGCTGGGGAGAGGAGCTGGTGGAGATGGTGGACAGGGGTGGCAGGGCCCCCTTGGCTGCTGTTAAAGCATAAACTTCCTCTGACTCCAGCCACTGAGCTGGGCAACACCCCTCTCCACTGGCAATAGTTGGGAGAGGGGTGTTGCCATATTGCCAGGCTACCCAGGGCAGGGCAGAGGCCAAACCCTCCAGATTCAGGCTCCTTGGAGAAGGCAGGCTCCAGCCTTGGTCTCAGAATCATCACTAAAGTCAGATAAGAAGATAATAATAGTAATGGCTACAACAGAGTAGCAGAAACCACAGGTTCCATTTTTAAGCACCTAATTGTGTCTAGATTCAGGCTGGGCATGTTTCATATCTCCTCTCACTCATTTCTCCTGACAGCCCTGGAGAGGATACTGAAGCCGAGAACAGTGGGTCGCTATACTCAAGGTCTCCAGGCTAGAAAGTGGGGGGGCTTCCTCCAAGGGCTAAGGGACTTCAAGCCCTGTCCTTCCCACTGTACCACGTTGCCTTGGTGATGCTCCTTTTGCACTGGCCCCACATGGCCAGCTGGATTCTTCTGGTCACAGGAGATGGCGTGGCTGTTGGGCTGTGGGGCAGGAGGGAGGCAGCTCTACCTGGAGCCACCACCCTGCTCCGACTTGCTCTAGGTATCAGCATTACACTGTGGGAGCCAGAGGAGCCCTGTGCTTTCTGATAGGCCCAACATTATGTCCTCCTGGGCAGAGAGTGGACAACTTAGAGGGATCATATGCTAGCTTGGGGTCCTGACCGTGGTCTCCAATGCAGGAAGAGGCGTGTGCAGAGAACAGCATGTGTGAAAACAATCCCCAGCCAGACTAGCTGGATCTGCTCTTAATTTAGGCAAGCACTGACTCCTAGAGCTGGACTTGCTTTCTCCCAATTCAGGCACATTCTGTCACTGCAGAGATGTCACAGCATCAGATGAGATGGGGGTTGGACATCCACAGGAACTCTGCCTGATGAGTATCTTGGTCCCCAAATACCTGACCAAAGGGACTTGGGCTTAGTGAGGGAGATAGAGATAACATTACCCTGGAATCCCTCTAGCTTGGTACTGGTCCCCAACTATTTACAAGAAGGGTTTTACAAACACCACAAAGTGTAGCATTGCTTGGCCATGCATGGGCAGAGAGGCTGGTCCCAGGTGGGCTCTGATAGGGGCTTGCTTGTTCTTCTACCAGTCAGCCCAGAGAGGGGAAGTGTGCAATATTCTTCTCCCTAGATGGTCATCCGTTCTATGCAGAAGGTAAACTGGCTCCAGGAAATAACAACTTTATTTGCAATCAAGCCCATGAGGCCTCCTGGAATGGCTTCTCCTTCCTGATTTGCTAAAGTAAGTTGGATCACATGGGGCCGAGAATGAGGCCCACCCAATGAACAAACTCCATTTGAGTCCTGTAGGTGAGTGGCAGTGTCCCCTTGGTGGCTCAGGAGTTAGACCCAGTGACTACTCCCAGCCTGTGGAGAGACGAAGGGGAGAACTCTTTGTTTACACAATGGGGTGGGATTCTCTATCTGCCTGCAGAAATGAGGTGGTGGGGCTCTGAGTTAGGTGACAGTAATGCCAGTTCTGATGCTTTTGAAGCTCTCATCAACTCTCCCCAAGTTGAGAAGGTTCCATCTGTCTCCAGCAGGGCAGTGTGACAGGAAGAGCATGAAACTCAGAATCATAAGATCTAGGTTTGGTCTTGTGTTTATTAGCTGTGGGTCTTGAGGTGAATTTCATGATCTGGATGGGGAGCCCGTGATGCATAGGATCTGCTCTGGAAAACGAGTTGAATTCAATAGTTATGCTCATCTTCTTTGGCTCCTGTCGAGAGTTTGGTGGGGGCTGATAAAGGAAGGTCCCCTTCTGCTTTTGTTTTTCCTCGGTCTCATGCCATCTGATACTAAGTTTTCTTACTCTTATCCTCCTTTTCTTGACTTTCCACAGAAGATTTTGTCACTGAGTTTAATAAACTTTAAAAACACAGCAGTCAGAAAAGTTCCTCTCTTTTTCCCATCTTCAGAGTCCTATTTGCCTGCTGCCGAGGTCGGGGGCAAGCTTCAATAAGCCCAATCAACACAGCCTGCCTCTCGGCTTCCCTGCTTCTGCGTCACACTGAGAGGCTGGAGGGAAGGATAAGCCTGTTTCCAGGGATGATCACCAGCACCCTGAAAAGTCTTACAAAATCAATCAGAGAGCAATTTACAGAAAAATTCCCTGCCTTCGGGTGCCTTCCTTTGAGAAGGGCTTCAGGGATGGATGGCCAAGGTCAACTCCAGGGGCCATGGCGTCTTCTCACATCCCTCTGGGCTACATTTGCTGGTTTTAATGACACAAAGGATGGGTCCCCTTTTCTCCAGGCCCATGTAGACGTGGAAGGGGCCCGCTGGTCACCTTCTGCCTAGATCACAGCAGCTCCCCACAGCTAATCCAACCTGATTCCTTTTATTGCTAGAGGTGACGTCAGGGGTGGAAAGGTTCGGCTGTGTCCCAAGATCCCAGAGGGTGTGTGCACGCATGTGTGTATGTGTGTGTGTGTTTGCGTGTACATATGTATGTGTGAGAAGAGGGGAGACGCAACTGCAGCTCTGGCCAGGTAGGAAAACCAGCATTGAGGAACTGACCACCACAAATTGGGGGGATCCCATCTCATTTTTGGATCAAATTGCACTTCTGTAGCTCACACAAGAAAAACTGCTTCCATGCCTTGGAGGGGAAAGAAAATGAGGAAAGTCCACTTTTTCTCCTTGCAGGCCCAGAAGGCCTGAGAACGTGGTTTAAATTATTCTAGTCACAGGCAGGCTATTCAAATAAAATAGAATTTCAAACCACACGGGGCTTGTTGAGACATTCAGGCTGCTGGGGTGTGTGAAAGGCAGGGGGCTGGGGTGGTGTCAGCCGCCACTCTGCCGTGCTCTTTATTACCAGCGGCTGCAATGCCAGACACATCCGCGGGTGTCTCAAAGCCGAGGCGGATTCGAGCAGGTCTGACAGCAAGTGAGCACATGAAAGCCACTGCAAGCCTTCCCTCCCCGGTGGCAACTTTAATTATTTGAACTGGAGCTCAGAAAAATAAAAATAAAAATAACATCAGAATATATTGTAAGTGGCTCCCCAGTTTCCTGCAGAGAAGAGCTTGTGGCGGAGAGGAGGAACACAAAAAGAAAACCAAAACCACAGCGTTCTTTCTTGTTTGTGGCTGGGCGAGGCAGAGGTCTTTAAATATTCATGCCCCGTGTGTAACTGTGCAGAGAGATAGGAGGCAGCCGTGGTAGTCAGCAAGAGCAGGCTGCAGGAGCCTGGAGGGAGGAGGTGGGAGTGGGGCAGGCTTCTGGAATGCCCTGGAAGTTAGATTGGCACAAAGGCACACTGTGGCTATGCCTCCATCATGGGGGGCTCCTGACCTGGTTTCATATGCTCTCCCACCCGCTTCTCTTCTCCCCCGCCTCCATCATTTCTCATCCCTTTTCTGACTCATCTTTCTAAAAGACAAGTGACATCACGCTATTTGGGGCCACAGACAGGAGGAAAACTCTCTGCATGGGCTCAGAATGAATTTCAGTCACAATTGGCAAGCACACCTACGGCCAATAGCTCTGAAGTTTCAGTGCACCTCCAAATCACCAAGGATAGGGTTTAAAAATGCAGAGCCCTGGGCCCCACTCTTCGCGATGTCATTCAGTAGGTCCAGGGTGGGGCATTTGTTACATTTTCCAGGTGAATGTGACTGGTGAAACACAGAACTACTGGTTAACTCACTTTCTAGACTTTGCAGGAAATTCTTGAAGATGACACCAGTTCTTCTCTGGGAATCCACTGATGATTGTGGTGTCTTGAGATAGTGTACGATGACTTTAACTTCCCGGAGACCAGGACTGAGCTGGGTTTGAAGAAGGTCCTTCGTGGTAGGCATCAGCCTCAGGGCTCAGCTGGACCAGTCGCCAGTCCCTGTAGGCCTGATGCTCATCAGAGTCCTGTCCCCAAAACTCTGCCTAGTGTCCATCTTTCTGCACTCGGGCCCCATAGGCAACAGAGGCCCCTGTAGGGTTGGTGGGGTTTGAAAGCCCTGAGTGAACCTCACATAGTCCCCCAGAGAAATGCAATATCCATTTTTTTCTGCCACTGGGGTTTAGCCCGCCCGGGAGGAGGAAATCAACTTCCTGCATTCTGCATTTAGGATTCACATAAAATAAATGGTAGGGCTTACAAATCTAGAAATGCATATTTCTATTTTGGTTATTTATTTTCCTGATAAAAACATTTCTCCCAACATTGGGAATTCAAAGACCCATCAGCATTAGACAAATGGTCTGAAAACCTGAATGTGAAATCATATGAATATATATAAATATAAATAATGTGAGTGTGGAATGGACTTATTCCCTTCCTTTCATTATGCCTGCTGAGCCAAGTTCTGGAAAAGGGCAGGGAATAGCAGAAACAGCCCAGAGCAAATTAGACTGCAGGAAAAATAAAACAGGCCAGTAAAACGAAACACCTGTTTAAGCTATTGATCAACTCAAAGGTTATTAGAGAAATGATGAAGTATTAGAATAATATCATTTGTACCTTGACATTTCTTTTTCTGAAATTTGGCTCATATTAAACCCAGCGAAGAGTAAATTTAAAGACCAAATGCTCTTAAGGATCCTCCCGTCCTCTCCGGTGGGCCAACCATCTGTCTTCATTTATATGTTCTCTCAAAAAGCCTTCCTTTCTAGGTACCTGCTCTCAGACACCTGAGAAATATCAGCAATGACTGTGTAATTCCACCATCTGCATGAGATAGCATGGTTTCTCAAACACAATTTAATTTAATGAATCTATTTATTTGTGCTCAGAATTCTTCCAAAAAGGATTTAAGGTGGTTCACAGAGATACATAAAATCTAGTAGGATAGCATAGCCTAGAAGAGGGTGAGAAGGAAGTGGCGAATGTCGAGTTATAAAATCAAACCAGGAGTAAGCTGCTACAAATTGCATATCACAAAGTCCCATTTGCTTGCCAAGTGGAGCCTTGGTTTTAATTTAACCACTCCTCGGATTAAAAAATCATTTCTACATCTTTTCCATTCTTATTTGTTTTCTGTCTGTGAGTTTTTATTTTATGAGAAACTCGAGGGGCTTGATTCTGCCTGCATCCCTTAGCAGGGGCAATCCTGTTGTCTGTCCCTCTGCTGGCCACAGAACCACCACCCTGGGATTTCTATTAGCCACAGAAGGAGAAGTGAATCTGGTCAGTTTCACAATGTCTACAACTTGACAGGAAACAAATTGCTCAGAGGGTGCATAGCTATTCCTGAAACTGAGCCAGACAGGAATTTCTCCTGTGAGTGTCCAGAACGAGATGACTGGCCAAACCCAAACTACGTGTAGGTTTTCTACTACACGCAAGATGTTGATGCAGGTGCAGTGAGGGAGTACAAAGAAGCACAAGACATGGCCTGCTCTCTTGGAGCTTACAGTCTGATTTCTGGCTCAAGTTCTCTTCCTCTTCCCCCAGTGTCCTTCTGAATGTTGATACAGTGTGCCAGGCACCCTGTGGGCTAAATACTGCAGTGCTTACTTTGTGCCCAATGCTCTTCCAAGCCCTTTGGACATTATCTATTTAATCCTCACTCTTCAGGATAGGCACTATAAATGTGTTCACTTTCCCAGTGAGGAAACTGAAGCCCCAAGAGGTTAATTAACTGCCCAAACAAACTATACAATCAATCAGTGGTGGAACCCGACTTGGACTCAGAAATTTGATTCTAGAGTCCATGAGCTTAATCACTGTACCATGCTGGGGTCTTAAGTACATTTCTTGGCCCCTAAAGAATATGACTGTATGCTAAGGAACAGGGCGCCAGTCCCTCCACCCACACCAATGAGATAACAGCATCAGGAACCATTTGAGAGAGTAGTTTTGGAGGTACCTCACTGAATGCCATTGATGTCTTAGTGAAATTTATGTAAATCAAATTTTTGAGGATGTATAGTATTTACAATGTATTACAAGAGCTCAATGTTTTTAAAAAGGATTCTGTAGAAAGTCTTTTGCAATCCTTGTCACTCTCCCTTGTTATGCCATGGAAAATCTCTTCTGGGTTTGATTAAATCATGGTTCTACTGCAAGTAGTTCAGTGCAGCTGGGTATGGCTGTTTAAGGCATGATTCTCTGTAGATAGGGCTTTACCATGTTGATGGACATGCTCTGCCTCGAAGATGGCAGAGGTGGCCCTCTTGTTCTCTCCCCAGGAGAACGACCAGCCCAGCCAGCTAGGCTACTTTCTTAATCTGGGTTCCGGAAGTGACAAGAGGTGGGAGGAGAAATTAGAGAACTAGAGAAACAAGGAGACTTGCCTCACATGGAGAGCTCTTGATCGGTGCAGGAAACGTAGCACTGGTCACTGTAGCACTTTCAGAAGCGGGGACATCAGTGGTACTGAGCAATAGAGCATGGTCTAGGAGAGAGGAAAAGAATCACAAGCACGCCATTATCAGGAACTGGGGGACCAGGGGTGCAGGGTTAATGGACTGTGCACAGTTCTTATCTAGCCTAGGGATATCTTTGAGGAAACAGGTTTCTGGCCTGCAATGGAGAAGAAAGCCCACCTGTCAACAATTTCTTTTTTTTTTTTTTTGAGACAGAGTCTTGCTCTGTAGCTCAGACCGGAGTGCAGTGGCGCGATCTTGGCTCACTGCAAGCTCCGCCTCCCGGGTTCATGCCATTCTCCTGCCTCAGCCTCCCAAGTGGCAGACTACACAGGCGCCTGCCACCACGCCCGGCTAATTTTTTGTATTTTTAGTAGAGACGGGGTTTCACTGTGTTAGCCAGGATAGTCTCGATCTCCTGACCTGGTGATCTGCCCGTCTCGGCCTCCCAAAGTGCTGGGATTACAGGCATGAGCCACTGCGCCTGGCCAACAATTTCATTCTAAACTGCCTGTGAGGTCCCAGCACCATCATCTGGGCTACCACATCCCTGATCTTCCAAGGTCACCAGCTTTAGCCCATGGCCCAGGACTAGCCTGAAGCACACTGGCCTCCCCAGCTCCACCCTCCCCATTTTCAGTCATGCGTGGCCTTCCAGTGGTTTCTGTGACCTTCACTCTCTTCTCCCCTGTCCAGAACCCAGGTCGTCCTGTGCCCCTGCCCATGAAGACTCACTTCTTATATTTTCTAAGCATGGCTCTGCCTGAAAATCTGGGAGAACAGGGGCTCCCATCCACACGTGGTGGTGGGAAGAAGCATCTGCAAACTTTCAGGGTCTGCAGAGCATTTTGTACGTGGCCGGTGCTGTGGTATGAGTGCCATTGTGAGCTCACAACACTTTAGGGGGCCACAGAACCCCAAGCATTATACTTTAGTCTTTCCTTTCTACCTTTCTGCCTCTCTCAGTAAAGGCTGTTATTAAGTAACAAATTCGGGTGGGTCAAGGGCAGAGTAACCAAGAGATCTCAGCAAGCATGAGGGAGATTCAAGGAGCTGGCATTGTGTGACTGGGGACAGAAAAGCCCTCATGCAGGCAGGCGGGTCACAATTGTTCCCTTCAGATTTCTGAGGGGCTGCCTTGGTGGGAGAGGGGGTAGTTCAGTTCTGTGGGGCTCCAGGGGGCAAAAGGCATGATAAATGAGTAGAAGTCATGGAGAGGTGGAGCTTGCCTCCAGGTAAGGAAAGCTAATCTGTGATTGAGAACAACAGCATGTCTGCTCTAGGAGGCAGTGGGAGCCCTGTCACTGGCGGTATTCCGCAGGGCTGGATGCTTATTTGCTATGGGTGCTGTAGTGGAAATTATCAAACTGGGAACAGAGACATGAAGGGCACATCCAGCTTGGAACTCCATTTCTCTCCTCTGCGTCTTTTACAGACAGAATGCTAAGAAGGATGCTGCTGCACAGTGGGGACTGAGCCAACTCACTGTTCAACAAATAAGCATTGGAGGGTCTCTAGTTCCATAGAAAGAAGGCAAATGAAGAGGACAGAAGAAGGAGAGAGACCTTCCCACCCCATCAGCCCTATGCTGCAGAGAGGTGGGCACCAGGGCCTGCCCGGGTCCCACCACTAGGGACAGCCCCCAAGGCTGGCTAGCCTGGCCTCTCCAGCAGCCTAACGTTGGGAGCTCTGCTGGCCATATAGACCCTCTGTGATCCCACATCCTGCCCAGCCTGGTGTCTCTGAGTCTGGAGTCAGCTTACCCAGGAGGGGCTGGCTATCTCTTGGCTGCGTGGAGGCCCTTTGCTCTCTGCCAGACACGCAGGGTTTGTGGGGAGGATGGACCCCGGAGAGGGGAGGACAGGCATTACTAGCTTAAATCAGGGGTGAGGTAGGGGGATGGCTGGAGAGGCTGTGCTGCAGGGAATGGACCATGGACCGGGTATAGGGTGAGGCTCCCTGGGCACAACCCTGGGGCAAATGACACAAGGACTTGCTGTGCCTCAGTCTCCCCAGTCATAAAGAGGGCTATGGCTTTCCCTGCCTCTCAATGAATTATGTGCCTGACACATAGGACGCCCTCAGCACATACTTGTTGATGGAAAGGATTATTATCGTTGTTGCTATTATCTTTTTGTTAATCCCTCCTCATGGTTCTTATTTTAAGTAACCAAAGGTGACATCTATCTTGGCCAGATTTAATCACTCGAAAGCCCAAGGTGTGAAGAGGGAATTGTGTGTGAACGCTCTAGGCAAGCTTTGGTCAGACACCCGAGCTTGCCCTGCAGGTGGGGTGAAGTCCAGCCCTGAGTCTCCCATCTGTCTATGTGGGCATGAAGATGGGCACCAGAGAGAAGGCAGGAGAGCAGTAGTACCTTGGTGGTCCTGGAACCGGGCATCCTTTAGGGTCCTGACCTGCCATTGAGGAGTGTGGGGTGACAGTGTGCCTTGGGTCCAGCCACAGAAGCCATCTTCAAAGTTGCAGTAAAAACCCACAGGCAGTTTCCCTATGGAGAGAGCAGAGAGGCACCATCATTTTCAGGACCACTAAAGGCAAAATATGCCAATGCCAAGTCGAATTAGCCAGGCATGACCAAATTATCTTCATTAGTAATATAGCTCCCCAGCCAGAATGCTGGATGACTAATGACACTGATTATAATGAAGAGAAGCCCCCAAGCCCTAACTGATGCCCGTGCTGGTTTACAGTTTTCTTATCTACAGAAAACAAAATAGGAAAAATAACTCTTCAGCATGGGTGTTGTTAGTCCAGTTGTATATCTGACAAAGCAGAGGCTCAGAAATGTGAAGCAACTTGACCAAGGTCACACAGCTAACAGATAACCCAGTTAGGACTCGAACCCAGGTCTTCTGCTTCTAAATTCTGCACTCTTTATACTCAGCCACCATGAATGTGACCCCAGGAGAAGCCACTGTATAGCTCACTACATTTCTAATGGTTGATACAATGTCCAGACTGTGGTGGTGGTTGTGGTAGTGTTGGCTGGGGGTTTGTCTGGGTCCATCAAATTACCTGTCTGCAGAGACACATATTGCTCAAAACTTTCCATTTGCTTTCCTTTCTCTCCCAACCCGCTTGCAGTTAAGTGAAGACATATGATGTGCTCTGGCCAATGAAATGTGAGTGGAAGTGATGTATCTTCTCTGAATTAAGGCTGCTAAAAGCCCTTGTGTAAATCTTTGGTCTCTCTGTTCCCTTGCTGAAACAACCAATGAAAGTTCTTGTTCCTAAGGGTGACACTATATTGACGGAGGAGCCTCTGCCAGCCTGGGTCCCTGAGTGATCCTGTGGAGCAGAGGCCCCTCCCACCCACACCCTCATTGGACGGGTACTGTAAATGTTATCCCAAGCCACTGAGATATGGGGTTTATTACTGCAGCATAATCTAGCCTGTCCTGATCAAACAATCCCAGTCATTGGGGCCTCTTTATATCATCAGTGGGCTCAGCACAAAGGGCACGTCATCTTTTTCTCTACATCAGACTGATCTCAGGTCCTATTGAAGAGGTGACAGTCAGCTTTCTAGACTGTATATTTCCCAACTGCCCACAGAAGGAAGAGGAAAGGATAAGAGGGTGAGGGAGAGAGCTCACTTTCTCCAGCTCACTCTGAGCATGGCTCCAGGAAAGGCACTCAGCCCTAAGGAGCTAGTGGCCTATTCCAGGCGATTCTGATGGCCCCCAACACCTCCCAGCCTAGCTGCAGAGAAGCCTGTGTCTCCATGTGGGAGGAAAGAAGCTCTCTAGCTGAGACCCACAGCACTGCATGTCCTTCCTCTGTCTCAGCCTTCTTGGCAGCAGCAGGCTGACAAAGAGGGCCCTAACGCTTCCTGGCTGTGACAGCACCTTAGTGAATTATTACTCATTTCCCCCAGATTCTCTGTGCATTTCACACAGAGGCAGAATTATAAATTAAAACAGGCTGTCACTGACTTTGAACATCTCTTCCCATTTATACCCCCCTGAAGAAATAATTTCCCCCTAAGCCCCACATGTTTCTATGATTAAAAATCCCAAAGCTAAGAAGAACTTTCTGTTTTATTTTTTATTTCCCCCTCAAGGGATCCCACATCTACTTCTCTTGCAGAAACCAACTGGTGGAAGTGACCTTCTCATGGAGTGTCCTTCACAAGTGAGTTTTAAAAACCAAGGCCCGACAGGGCACGGTGGCTCACGCCTGCAATCCCAGCACTTTGGGAGGCTGAGGCAGGCAGATCACCTGAGGTCAGGAGTTTGAGAACAGCCTGGCCAACATGGGGAGACTCTGTCTTGACTAAAAATACAGAAATTAGCCGGGTCTGGTGGTGGGTGCCTGTAATCTCAGCTACTCGGGAGGCTGAGGCAGGAGAATCACTTGAACCCAGGAGGTGGAAGTTGCAGTGAGCCAAGATTGTGCCACTGCACTCCAGCCTGGGCGACAAGAGCAAAACTCCATCTCAAACAAACAAGCAAAAACAAACAAACAAAACACCCCAGGGCCCATGATGGAAGATTCCAGTGGGTGATGGATTCCTGGAGGAAGGAGGAGGCCGGCCTGAGGTGGGAGATGCACAGTACGTCACTCCCTCCTTACCCTTTTAGGAGGCAGAGGGAGAGAACTGAGCCTGGATCATGGGTATTGTTAGCACAACAGCACTGGAATCCGGACATATGGGCTCTAGTTCTAGCCTCACCACTTCCTGCTTTGTGACCTTACAAAAGTCCCTTCTTCCTTAGAGCCTCAGGTTCCTTATCTGTAAAATGGGGCAGTATTAGTGTCTATTTTACTGAGCTGGTTTGAGGATAAAGTAGGGGAGAGAGTGTGGAAACACTTTGTAAACAGCCAGAGAGGTGCAAATGTAAAGTGGTGGTAGTGTTATTAATTGCCATTCACACCTAACTTGGAGCTAGTTCTTCAGAGTATGGCTGAAACTGACAGCAAGTCCCTGCCTGGCTCTCTGGAAATGCTTGTTGGAGGCTGCATATGTGATAGCTCTGCCTATGCCTTTCAGCTGGACAGAAGAAAGCCACTGAAGAAAGCCATCAGCATTCTCTGTCTCTGGAATCCCATTCTTGTTTCAGCTTGGCATAGAATCCAGGGTGAGCTGGGAGTGGAAACCCCTTTTCTTTCTGGCTGACTCAATAACGGGAGAGGAGGCAGGCAAAAGAGCAAGACAGGCCAGTGGACAATTGATGTGGCAATTAAAACCCCTAAGGGAGGAAGGAGAGCTGAGGATTTCCATGATTGTAAACTCATCAGGGCAGCTTGCTCAGCCAGAAGCCACTCCTGAGGAAGCTGGTGGGTTAAGGTTAAGAGTCGGAACAAAGACCCCTGTGGATTAGGCTGCAACTGGGAAATCACCACTAAGGCCAATTGCTGAGCAAAAGGTTGGCCTGCAGGATTGGGTCTAATGGTATCAACTCATCCTCTGATCATCCTTTTCTCTTCTCATTCGCCCCAAGCTCCTACTCAGTCAGCACACTGGAAGACTTCAAAACTTATTTGCTGAACAAAAGGGGAGTGGGCTCAATCCTCTAACTCTTTACCACTCAAAATGTGGTCCAGGGACCAGCTGTAGCCTCATCACCTATGAATCTGTAAAATGTGTGGAATCTCAGGCCTTGCCCCAACCCACTGAATCAGAATCTGCATTTTTAAGAGGCTCCCCTAGTGACTCCTGTGCACCTTAAATCTGGAGAAGCACTGTTCTAACCAACCCCCTTCTTGGGCTGTAGCCAGTTATTTCATTGGCTGGATGGCCAAATCGCGCTGTGGGTAGGTCAATCAATCCTGCAACATTTGGCAATTATGACACCTGATTCCACTCTAAGAGAGACAAATTGGTACAGTCATGGAGCTGTGACCTCAGCAGCAGCTGTGGGAGCTGCCAAGTATAAACTCCAGGCCAAATGACACTACTTCTTTTCCTTCCTGCGTGACAACTCTGTTAACATTTTTGATAAATATGTGCTATACATTTTCTTGAAAATATAGAGTCATGGGAAAAATGCTAGAAGAAATACATCAAAATATTACAGTTATCTCTGAATGTTTGAGAGGGAGGATTATGGGCGATAGTTATTTTCTCTTGTGTACATTTCTAGATTTTCTGTATTTTACAACCAGTATGTTTTATCTTACAATAAAGAAATACACTTTTAAAACACTGTTTTTGCCTGGCAGGAAGAGTATCCCCAGCACACAGATGAGATTATCAAGTCCATGGGGGAAAAGTGATCTGTCTGCAATACCTAGTGAATCACTGACCCATCTAGGGGATGAAATGGGAACATCTGGCCCCTTTCTAGGGAGCCACATGCCATCGAGGCCATTGGTCAGAACGCAGAGAGAGTCACGAAGACCCCCTTCAGTGCATTACAGCATCTGGGATGTCTCACTTGGATTTGGCGATGTTTAATTAGAAATGCAGGAGTGGCTGTATTGGAGAGGGGACCGAGAGTACTGTGTTGGAGTGTGGGTTTGGAGGAGAGAGTACAGTGGACATATGAGGATCATGATTGGCTAGAAAAAGGCAAGGGAATGTCACCTCCATCTCAGGCCCTCCACTCATCCTGGACAACTGTTAGAATTTTTAAGGGCTCCAAAGAGATCCAGTTACGTTGCCCAGAGTGAGTCTGATAATCTGTTTGCAGCCCCAGCATGTGCGGAGGACTCCCTCTGGGAAGGTGTGGGGAGTTGAGGCTGGCTTTTGGTAGGGGGAGTTGATTAAATGCAACCTACTTTCCCCTTCCAAATTCCAACCATGGCAGGGTTTGGTCAACTACCCTGGCCCAAGATGAAAGACCCTCAGGAAGGTTCTTTAGAGGACCTGGCCATTCCTAACAGAGCTGCAGTGTGAACACCTGCTCAGAGGAAACATTTTAACAGGTTCCAGACCACCTGGAAAGAGCTGGTGTAGTCAAGAGTATTTTCCTATGATGTTGGTGTTGATTCTGGAAACCATCCCCCTGAAGAAAATAATAACATGAATAATACTGGCTAACATTTACTGAGCACTTACTTTGTGCCAGGAGCTGCTCCAAACACTTCCTGCTTGTTTCTCAGACCTCAGAGTGTCAGTAGGCATCACTTTACAGATGAGGAACCCGAGACCCAGAGGGGGAGGCCCCCAGAGAAAGGCGGTAGCAGGGCCCTGGACCTCCCTGTCTCTTCCTGGCCCCTTCATCCTGGGTGTGTCTGTGGCTAGGTTCAGTGCTTATCATAGCTAAGTGCTGGAAGCTCGTGAAACAGAGTTTACCCTGCAGTGGTTTGAGTGTGGCTCTGAAGTCAGACTGAGCCTGAATCACTGCTCAGCTTCTGGCTATCAGTTTGATCGTGGACAACCACTTAAACTCCGTGAGCTTCAGCTTCCTTGTCTCTAACAAAGATGGGTACAATAGCATCACACAGGATGTTGTAAGGATGAAGCAAGTTCCTACATGAAAAGTGTTGAGAACAGCTCCTGCCTCATAGAGTAAAGGCTCAACAGGTAAGCTGGTGTTGTTGCTGTTGTTATCTTCATGGGAATGGTTTTCAGAGTCAACATTAGTGTGATGGGGAACACAGCAAAAATGCCGGAAAGGATAGGGCACACAAATAAGAAAAAGGATATTTTCTAAGAGTTTTGCTAAGATCTGAGTGGGAATAACTCTCCTGAATTGAACTTCCCTCCCAGCAACTGCTTTCTGTAGCCAAGAACACAGTGGGGGTGTTCTCCAGGGTGGAGGGGTTACTCTGACAGCTTGTCAGAGCCGCTTTTCAAATGTGGCTGAAAAAGCCTCTGGGCCCCAGGTTCTTGCCCTCAGTGCCTGAAGTAGACTGCCCTGAAGCTTGGAGCTGGCCAGGAAACCAGTAGTGGTAAGCTTTGGAGTGGTGGGAAATGCCCTGAGCCCATAGTAATGGACTGGATCCTGAAGGTTCAGGGCTCTAATCTGTCCCTGACATGCTGTGTGACCCTGAACAAGTCAATTGCCTTATCTGTGCCTTCATTTTCCCAATTGTCAATCAGGGCATGGCCTGCCCGACCTGTGTCCCAGCTGGGAAGTAGGTATCAAAAAACTTGAAAAAGGCAATCGCGAAATCACAGAGTTCAGAGGCACTGCTGGAAACACTGCAGACACAAATAAATAGAGACACACACACAGGCCCCTGAACAGGGCACTGTGGGCAGGACTGGCTTCACTTTGGGCCATGTGTGTAGTGAGAACTATACGAGAAAGGCCAGGAGCGGAACAGAACAGGGTAAGCAAAGCCCTTCCCTGTAACTCTTTGCTGAGTTTTATCTAAAAACATACAACTATTCCATTATCATTGGAAAACTTCACTTGAAAGTTTTGTATAGAAATGAAGTTTTAAAAATGGGAAAATGAATGTCTTTATTGCTTAATTTAAATGAGAATAAATGAAACCTTCTCCACCCCCCACAAAGGGTCCAGATGACTGGGGGCAGAGGGCCCTGTTTTAAAACGTATTTTGGAAACTTCCTTGCAGGCCACTGGGGTCTGCATATCTGGGAGGTGAGGCATTTGCTCCGGGTCTGGGCCCCACCCCAGGCACCATTCTGCCTCCTCCTTCCCCAGTCCAGGCTCCATTTCACTCCCGCCCCTGTGTGAAGCTTTCAGTGCTTTGAGGGAAGATGCCAAGTTATTCATCTCTGCTCCAGGATCTGGCACATTTTCCAGCTGCCTGTAGGTATTCTGGAAGCGTTGGTGGTTTCAGTGGCAAAAACATCAAGGGCTCTGCGGTGATTACTTCTGGAGAGGCAGCTGCGGGGAGCACCATGTTCAAGTGCAGGAGCACCAGCTGGGAGTCTACTCCGCCCCGACTGCCAGTGGGGCCTCGGCAATTTGTTTTCCCCTATGGAGTCCAAGTTTCCCAACTCATTCTTTCCTCTCATCAATGAAGAGTCAGTAAGCACAGACGCTGTGCCAGGAATCATGAGAGGTATTGCTATGGGAAAGATGACCAGACTCAAACCACCCACAGAGAGGAAGAGAGACATGGAAATCACCTCCATAAAACATAATGGATGCATGCCCACTAGGATGGCTAAAATTAAAAAGACAGATAATATGACGTGTTGGCAAAGATATGGAGAAAGTGGGCCCCTCGTAGGATGCTAAATGCCCAGAATAGGCAAATCTATAGAAACAAAGATTAGTGGTTGGTTCAGGCTAATGGCAGGGGGTTTGGAGCAAAATGGGGAGAGATACTACAGGTTCCTTTTCGGGGTGATAAAAATGTTCTAAAATAAAATTGTGATGATGGTTGAACAACCCTGTGACTATATGGAAAACAGGGAATTGTACACTTGAAGTGGGTGAATTGTATGTGAATTGTATCTCAAAACTATTCATAAAAAGTAATGGCAATGATGATATTTGGATGGATCCACTGGATTGTGGGGGAAGGATCCAGAGGGAGAAGAACCAGTGGTACTTGTGGGGGATGGCCAGGGAGGCTTTCTGAAAGAATCGACTCAGGGCGAGTCTTGAAGTAGATGTGACTCGAGAAAGGAAAGGGGAGACCATGTGAGCAAAGCCATGGAGGCATGAAGGATCTGTAAGGTGGTTCCATACAGCCGGAGCTGGGGTGCATGGAGGAGGGAGAGGATGAGGGGCAGGTGGGGAATGGGACTTGGAAGGCGAGGGAAGTCTGGGCATAGAGGACTTCCAATGTCACATTAGAGCTGGGCTTTATCCTGCACATTTTCTCTGTGCCTTGAGGATGCTGATAGCATCACTTACAAGATCTTGTTTGGTTCTTGACTTATATGACTACGGACCAGGCTATTTCTAGACCACAAATCTTAGCTCTGCCTCTTGAAGACTGTGTGGCTTTGCCATGAGAGGAGTCACAAGTGTCAGTGGATATCAGGAAGGCTGTCCATGCTCTCATGCCTGGGATAATGGGGACAACGGGGTTATGAGCATGGGCTGGGCTCAGGCAGGGTGGGGCAGCCCCATCTACTCACGGCACATCTGGCTCTCATCTTCTCCCTGGGCACAGTCCTGGTGGAAGTCACAGGCCTGCCCAAGCTGGAGGACTGTCCCATTCCAACAAGTGAAGGAGCTCTGCAGGGCCATCTTGGAGCCTGGGGATGTTCCTGGAGAGCACACAGACACACAACCATGGTAAGTTTGCATGGCCCCAGGCAGCAGCTGGCCTGATGGGTTGGTCCCATGGGCAGGCTGCAGGGACAGCATTATCCTGCCCTGCCATTCACACTCCAAGGCCTGATTGAGACATCTGCATCTCCATCTGGCCAACCCAGGGCCAACATCAGCAGGGAGAGGGGTCAAAACCCCTCACGCTCATCCATGGCCTGCTGGGGTATCTCACTTTCTAGGAAGGTGAGCAGCAGAGTGGTCCATGTTCCCTCCATGACATTCCTCCTCGGGGGTCCTCAAACCCATGACTTTAGTGTGCCAAGTGGATGGCCTCCAGGTGGAGTCTCACCTGCACAGATAGCTCCACCCTCAAGGTCAAATTTGGGGTACCAAGAGGTGGATCTGGTCTAGTGCATGTCCCCCATGTTCTTGACCCCAGGTTCTACCACTGGAGTGACTTATTGAGAAGATATTAGAAAGATGCAGCACTTTCTGTTCTGGAATGCAAAGAACACCATCATGCAAGCCTGGGCCTCAGATCTGGACTTGGATCCTCCTGCCTGGCTGTATGAGGCTGACCATGTCCCTTCTCTGTGTGGCCCCTGTCCCATCCTCTATCAAAGGAGGGATTTCTATTAGATTGCTAAGGTTTGCTCTAGTCTGAAATTCCTAGATAATTAATTTTATCCAGAGGGGGAAGGGATGGGGGCAGTTTATAATGAACATACAGAGTTATCAGTTTCTGGATTAAGAACAATGCATTTTGATAATGAATTAACCTGTGACCACTCACATCTTTGCAGGCCCCAGAGATTCAGACAACAGGAAGGAGAAGGCTGGTCTGGCTTAGCCTCCCTGACCAAATGGAGGGCTTTGCCTGGGGACCACCTCACAAGGCCTGGCTGGTGCCTCCTGCTACTCAGTTCTTGGCTGATGTCAGATGGGGAGACTCTGGCCCCTGTGGAGATGAGCAGGTAGGGCTCACCTGGGTCAACACCCCGAGTGAGCCTGCCTTACTCTCTGCCTTGTTTTCTAGCTCTATCCTGGTCATAGCTGGTGCTAAACCCATCTCAGTGCTCAGGGCAGTGGGGGAAGATGAACTAGGACCCCACTTGGCTAAGTCCCCCAGCCTCTCTGAGCCTCACATGGGGGTGGGGCCTTTCCAACTCTGGCTGCAAATCAAACTCAACTGATTCTGATGAGGTACTCTCCAGGTTAGGTGATCTTTAATATCTAAAAGTCCATGATTTCCTGGTTCAAAGGACTCTTCCTAATAGCACTGAAACTAACATGAAGCCCAGCTTGTTTACTTCTGGAATTTCTCCATCTACTTTAGCACATCTGGCCCTGTGAGGAAACTAGACAGGTCTTAATGATGTCCATTTCCTAAGTGGGAAAACTGAGGTCAGAGAGGTTCAGTGACTTATCTCAGGCCCCACACCTGGTATGTGGGATTCACACCCAGCTTCTCTGACTGTAAAGGTGCCCTCTCCATCTCACGGAAGGAGATGCTGGAGGTGGCCTTGTGCCCTCTTTTCTAGGGTAGTCCAGATAAGGCAGAGTTTGTCAGATGACAGCACACGGCCACCCAGCATTGTCCACCCTGCCTCCTACTGGGCATTCTCTGCAAATACTAGTAATGGGAAAACAGATCCCACCTCCTTCCAGGGAATCATATCTGAGCCCTTTCACCTGCTCTTCAAGGTCCCTGTGATCTGGGCCTAAGTTGCTTTGCCTCTCCCTCTGCCTCTGCTCATGGACTCTGTGCTGCAGGCTCCCAGAGGGCGATGAACATGGTCATGTGATGGTTGTGTGATGATGCACCCCATACTCTGCTGATTGAAATCCTGCCGTCCGTCCAGGTCCAGCTCACAGACACTGCCTGGCACAATCCTCACACCTTCCTCCCCACCTCCATTTGGGGAGCTGCTGCTTCCATGCAACCTGCCTCCAGAACGCTTGTGCACAATCCCATCATCTTCATCAAGTTGTGTGAGCTTGGCGTTCACCCCAGGCCTAGCCAGTGCCTGGCCCCTAGGAGGGTTCATGAATGCCTGCACATTAGGTTACCTATCTTCAGTAGGCGGAATAGCAGACCCCCAAATAGACACATCCGAATCCCTGGGGCCCGTGAAAATGTTACCTATGTGGTAAAAGAGGCTTTGCTGCTGTGATTAAGAATCTTTAGCTGGAGATATTAACCTGGAATATCTAGGGTTGGGGGGTATGGGCAATGTGATCACCAGACAAGACAGTCAAAGTAAGAAGTAGGGGACTATGAGGGTGGAAGCAAGCGTTTGGAGTAGTGGGAGGAAGGGGTCACAAGCCAAAGGGTGCTGGCAGCCTCTGAAAGCTGGAAAAGTCAAGGAAGCGATTCTCCTAAAGCCTCCAGGAGGAACCTGGCCTGCCTGACATGACTTTAGTCCAGTGAAACTAATTTCATACTTCTGCCCTCCAGAACTGTAAAAGAACAAATTCATGTTGCTCTATTACGTTCGTGGTAGTTTTTACAGCAGCAATAGAGAATGAACACTCCATCGAAACCTGACTCCCGCTGAAATCCCAGACAGCCGAGGCTCCCATCACTGGGAGCCCAGAGTAGATTTAGATCCACTTCTCAGTGCTCTAATTTGTTTTTGTGACTAGACCTTTGTGGTCCCCTGGACTATTCATCTCTACCTTTTTCTTACTCACACAGAAGGAAAAACACCACTCCATTCGTTCCTGGGCCTCAAGATAGCCTAAGCAAGGTTTCCCCAGATAACTTATAGATTCTAAGTGCAGGAAAATGCACAACAAAAAATTACCCTTGAACAATACAGGTTTGGACCCACTTATACATGGATCTCACCCAACACGGATGGAAAATACAATATTTTTGGGTTTGGCAGGGCTGACTGGGCCTGTGCAGATTTGGGGGTCCTGGAATCAATCCCCCACTGTATGGAGGCCATATTCTCAGACAAACACACAGGATCAAAGTACAGAGGGAACAGGAGAACGAGATACAATGCTCATTTTAGGATGTAAAATGTCAAATTCATTTTGCAGCTTTAATTTTGGGCATCAATTCTTTACCTATCATTCATGTCCTCTTGGAAGCTAGAAGGTAAAACGCCTTTCTGCACACACTGGTGCTGGTCCCACGGAAGGTGTGGTCTCCCTAAAACAGTGGGAGAAGATGCCCCCTTGCCTGGGGAGCTGACGGGGCTGTGTCCCAGGAGTCGAGAGCACCCCAGAAGCAGCACCTGCTTGCTCACTAAACTTGTAACAACCAGGACAGGGAGTTCTATTCTTTCTACTTAGTAGGAGAAAATGGGGAAGGCCAGTGTCCTCTTTGCCCCTCTTTCAAGGCACAGGTATTTAGGATAACAAGAAAAGTTCTCACATTTGCTTGGTGATTTTGTTTCCAAATCACTTTTTCTTATGCCTTACCACAGGAGACCATTAAATATAGTTAAGACCTTATTACCCTCACTCCCAGCCCTGCCACAGAAAACATAAGTGAACTTAAAAATCAGCCAGGCGTGGTAGCTCACACCTGTAATCCCAGGACTTTGGGAGGCTGAGGTGGGCAGATCACAAGGTCAGGAGATCAAGACCATCTGGGCTAACATGGTGAAACCCCGTCTCTACTAAAAATACAAAAAATTAGCCGGGTGTGATGGCACGTGCCTGTAGTCCCAGCTACTTTGGAGACTGAGGCAGGAGAACCGCTTGAACCAGGGAGGCGGAGGTTGCAGTGAGCCAAGACCGCACCATTGTACTCCAGCCTAGGAGACAGAGTGAGACTCCATCTCAAAAAAAAAAAAAAAAAAAAAAAAAAAAAAAAAAAAAAAGTCTATGAGGTCTCCCTCAACCTCCTGAACAAATCTAGGCTATGTCTGTTTCATCCACACCTTATGTCCCAATGGGCATGGGTGTTTCACACACCAATCACCTGTCATTCCTCAAAGAGGTCTTACAGCTTCTTTTACTTTCCTTCATTCTAAAAACAGAATCCAATTGTCTGAAGTTCAAAAGCAGGGTCAAAAGAAACAAAGAAAATGCCCAGAATCCCACCACCCAGAGGCCACCATTTTTAACATCTTGGTAGATTTCTCTTTGGTTTAGTTTCTTCTGCCCATGCTTTATAAGTATGTATAGTTGTGTCATACATATAGGCCTTAAAATAATTTAGGTTGTATCACAAGCTTTTCCAAAGGTTTTAAAATTTTCCCATAAAAATCCTTTTTAATGGCTACAATATTGTGCAATATGTCCCATCATTTATTTAAACATTATTCAATGATTGGGCTGCTAGTCTGTTTATGATGACGCTTTGAAGAATATCTTTGAGCGTAAACCTTTGCCTGCACTGCAGATTATTTTCATAGGATAGATTCCCAGAAGTGGAATTACTGAATCAAAAGGTATAAACATTTTAAAGGCTCTTAATACAGATTGCCAAATTGCTTTCTAGAAGTTAATCCAATTTACACTCTTCACCAGCTGTGTTCATACAGGCACATCCCTCATACTACCTCCTGGCCAACCCTGAGTTTTACCAGAATTTTTATTTTTAACTAAAGGTATCCCTCTGCTGTTTTATTTTGGATTTCTTTGATAGCCAGTGAAGTTGGGTTTTTTTGTTTTTTTGTTTTTTTTTGAGGCAGAGTCTCACTCTGTGGCCTAGGCTGGAGTGCCGTGGTGCAATCTCAGCTCACGGCAACCTCCGCCTCCTGGGTTGAAGTGATTCTCCTGCCTCAGCCTCCCAGGCAGCTGGGATTACAGGTGCCTGCCACCATGCCTGGCTAATTTTTGTATTTTTAGTAGAGACGAGGTTTCGCCATGTTGGCCAGGCTGGTCTTGAACTCCTGGCTTCAAGTGATCCGCCCACCTTGGCCTCCCAAATACAGGCATAAGCTATCGTGCCCAGCCTCGAGGTTGAATTTTTTCTCACATTACTAGCTTTTTTTTCTTTCCAAATTTATTTTTTAGGGAATTGCCAACGTATCGATTAGGTTCTTCCTGTTTTCATACTGAGTTGTATGAGGTCATTAATAAGGATGCAAAACTATTTATCATATGCGTGACAATTTTTCCCAGTATTTTATGTATATTTTCATTCTGTTTATAATGTATTTTGATAAACAGGCATTTTAAATTTTCTGAGACAGGGTCTCTGTCACCTAGGTTGGAGCGTCATGGCGCAACCTTGGCTCGTCCTAGCCTTGACCTTCCCGACCTCGGGTGATTCTTCCACCTCAGCCTTTTAAATAGCTGGGAATAGAGGTGTGCAGCACCATGCCTGGCTGCCTTTTTTTTGGAGAGATGGGGTTTCACCATGTTGCTCAGGCTGGTCTCGAATTCCTGATCTCAAGCAATCCTCCTGCCTCAGCCTCCTGAAGTGCTGGGATTAGAGGTGTGAGCCACTGCACCCAGCCTGAAATTTTCATGTGATGCCTCCCTATTCATATTTTCCTTGGTGATTTCCTCTTCTGTATGGATGCTTACTGAGTTTGTTCCATGTGGGATCAGTAGGTCACATGTGGGTTATCCTTTGGAATCTTTGGCTTCCCCTCTCCTCTGGGGACACCTTCCACCAACTCTTCCTCTTTCGGCCCTGGGGATCTAGATCTCACCACCTCATCTGTGCCATTTTCATGGATTCTCCCCTCCATGAATGTCCCTTTCCCTTGGGTACATTACTTCTTCTTACAATTAATGTGGTAGACACTGCTACATATCATTACTATGGCTTGTATGCCTGACTTCCTCATCCAGCTGCAAGTGACTTGAAGGGGGAGGTGTCAAGTCTCACCTTCAAGAGCCTCAGACAGTGTCTGGTATAAAGATCTAAATTCTCCCTATTTGGGAATTGAACTCATCCTGTGTATTAGCTGGGGAAGGTCTCATTATGTCCATTTGATAGTTGAGAATACCAAAGCTCCGAGTGGTTAGTGGCTGGCTGAGAGACTGATGGAAACCCACTGATTTAGATCCCTTGTTCTCTATTCTTTATGCGGCCTCCAAGGAGTGGTAATGGTGGGCATGGAAGGTCAGGCTGTCAGCATCCCTGCCCTTCACCCACACACCTTGACAAAGGAGGAGGTCCAGGAGCAGGAGCCAGTGTGGCTTCCACTCTCTGATGCCCTGGATTTTGTCCCCAGGACCTGTCTTCCTGGGTGGAAGCACAGCAGCAGCCCAGAGGTGCCTACGTTTTCAGCACTGCTACCAACTCCGCCCAGTCTCCTTCCCCGAATGGAGATTTCCAGGCTCCCTGGCACGGCCTTCTCTGTCCCACAGGGAGCTTTGTGCTTGCAGAAGAGTCAATTAGATGGACGCCTGGTACTGTGATCTCTACTGCCAGCCCAAGCCCCAAACTAACGAGGCACAACAAAAAACAACGCTCTGTCTTCTCAAGTTCTGTTTTTTATGGGGCCCATAAATTCCAAGAAGGAATGTATCCTTGGTGAATGATTTTAATCAAGGGCCTGAGTTCCCAAACAGCATCTTCTCTGTGGTTATAAAATGATTGTTCTGGCCTGCGGTGTAGAGTATCCTGAGGCCCCGGCTGGCCACAGCCTGCAGAGCAACGAGGAAGGGCAGTGGCTTAGACGTGAAAAGCCAGCTCCTGTTTCCCATTGACACTTCTGATGCCTTCTGCCCATGTGGTTCCTGGTAACCACTGAAACACCTAAATGCCCTAATAGGCAAAAGTAAGGGAGATCTGAGATCAAGCCACTCTGGGAAGAGTCGGTGCTTGGGGATCTTTTATTAGTGAGGGTCCTTTCTACGGGAATTTACATATTAGCCTTTGAAATGGCACTTCCCCCAGACTAACAATGTAAATCACAGGGGGTTACCTTTATATAGCATTTTAATAGCTTACAATGTGTTTTCTTTACCCTTCGTTTGAATCTCATAAAAACTGGAAGGACCGTTAGTAATATGCTCATTTGATTAATCAGAAGACTGAGGATGTGAGAGCCTACACAATGCACAGAGAAATGATTTTTAGACAACAAAGAACTACAGAAGGTAACCAGTGACTTACTGGGTACTTTGCAAGTGGTCTCACAGCTAGTAAACCACAGATAGGGGCCCAAGACCTGGTGAGATGATCCGAGCTCGAGTTCCTCTCCCATGACTCAGATTAAATTGTCTTCTAGGAGAGGCTCCCTGACTGCCCATGGGAGTCACTTGGGAAGTAAGGAATATTTTTGATGTTCAGGCCAATGAAATCAGTATCTCTGGAGGATAGACTCTTGGCACTGGTGGTTTTAAAATTTCTGGGTGCCGTGGCTTACACCTGTAATCGCAGCACTTTGGTGGGCTGAGGTAGGTGGATTGCTTGTGGTCAGGAGTTCAAGACCAGCCTGACCAACATAGTGAAACCCCATCTCTACTAAAAATACAAAAATTAGCTGGGCGTGGTCATGGACACCTGTAATCACAGCTACTTGGGAGGGCTGAGGCAGGAGATCCCTTGAACCTGGGAGGCGGAGGTTGCAGTGAGCCGAGATCATGCCATTGCACTACAGCCTGGTGACAAAGTGAGACTGTCTCAAAAAACAAACAAACAAACAACAACAACAACAACAAACTGTTCCTCAGGCAATTCTCAGGGGCATATGGTTGAGTATCATTTCCTTGGAGGCCTGGAGATCTTGGGCTGAGATGCCTCTGTATCAGGGATGGGTTCTTCACCTTTACTATCTTCACTGTTGATCTCAAATCCTGCCTCGAAGGTCCCTTCCTTCTCTGATGTCCTGTTCTGGGCAGTAGCTGTTGGTGGTTGCATGTTTATGAGGTTGATTGGATAGAGTTAGTGTCGACTTTATTAATGCTGGCTGTTGTTAATGACTCTCCCCTGAAGCCTTCTCCCTTCCAGGGCATCTTTCCAAAGCCACACACCCAGCAAACTTGCCTCTCAGTGGGATTTCCTGTCTCAGTCATCTGTCACTTGCATCCTGGAACATCTCTCCTGAAGCAGCAGGCCACATTTGTTTGCCCATTTATCTCCTCTCTGGATATAGTAGAAATTAGTTCAGATTTGCACTGGAGACACATGTGGCCCAGGTCAGGTTACATGAATTCCTGTTCTACACCACAGGTGATTTATTGGGTTCACTCACTGAGAATGATGCCTCTTCCCTAATTATGCATTCGAAACAGAAACCCATGCATCCTCTGCTCTTTCAATCGTGTTTTAGAGATTTGATGCTACAAAACCTACACAACTCTCCTAACGCAAATTTCTTTTTTTAAACGAATGCCACATTTTAGGGCGCTTAATTTTTAATTAGGGTGATTTATGTGTCATTTTAAAAAGGCACATTTCTATCAGCTTTCTGGCCATCTCCTACCTGCTTGCTCTTGCCTAACTAATGACACTCGTTAAAGGAGGAAATTTGAGTGCTGCTTCAGTGAGAAGGGGGTCTTGCTCTTCAATTAAAGTGAGGGGAGACGACACGTGGGGGAACCTGGTGTCTAGGGGACTCAGGTCAAACCTGGGGCTGGAGCTGGAGTCTAGGGGACTGGGCCATGATCTGGACTAGGAAAATCAGGCTCTCAACAGCCTCAAGACATGAAAATGGATGGTGACATGATGAGAATGTAGTCGAGTGCACAGACTAACAGCTGCAGATTCCTTTCTGACGTTAATGGGGGTATTAGAAGGCCTGAGAACTGTGTAAATTAAGCCTGGCAGAGACCAGTCCTGCTGAGGGCTTTGGGCCTCCTCAGTTGTAGTGTGGACAACCTCATTAAAGAGCTGGCATCTTGGGTTTCTATGACTCAAAATGTAAATCAGCGAGGAGCGGGTCTTGCTATGGATGGCTGCTGGTGGGCTGGGTAAGAAATCATGATTCCGGGAAGTGGGAGAGTTAGTTTGAGGCCTAGCCTTGCCATCAGCCCTCTGGGACCATGAACAAGTCTCTTTCTCTCTGGGCCTCAGTTTCCTTGTTTGTAAACCCTCTAAAGCCAGCCATTCATAGTTGCCATGGGCTTAGGCTGTTGCATTAATGGTGTGTCCACACACGCCTATATCAGAACCACGCAGGAGCTTCCTGGGCCTGACTTCAGTCCTATAGAATCAGAGGATCTGGGTGGGGAGCTTGGAAAAAGCAGGTGCCACAGGCTCTCTGGGTGATAATTGAGTACAGCCAAGTCTGAGAACCTCTGGTGCCTGAGAAATGGATCTTTAGTTCCTTCTCCTCGCAGAGGAATTCCAAGACCTCCAGCACTTCTCACCACCCCCACCGTCTCATTGCAAGGATTTTCTCCTTGGTCCAGTATTCTCAAGAGCGCCTTTCGCCCCTAGTTTCCATGTCTGTGAATACTCTTGCAGGCCCAAGGACCCACTTTGTTCAGTTTGTGTTGATGAGCTGCCTAAGGTATAGAGAAAATAATACTAGGCTCCAGCCCCCATCTTCTACTAGCTAGTGGGGTGAATGCTGACATAGCTTGCAGTTTTCTATAAATTGGGGATGCTGCCTAATGTACAAGATTTATGTGAGGATGAAACGAAATCATGTGGACATAACAGAAT
Source organism: Homo sapiens (assembly GCF_000001405.40). Classification (NCBI taxonomy): domain Eukaryota; kingdom Metazoa; phylum Chordata; class Mammalia; order Primates; family Hominidae; genus Homo; species Homo sapiens. The sequence goes on from NC_000002.12 coordinate 29,338,021, forward strand.
ACATGGGTTCTTATTATGGGCTAACTTCAGAGACTATCCTAAGGACTTTGAGAGGACCAGCTATGGAGGGTGGATGGGAAGGGGGTCAGTGAGGGGGTTACAGAGGCCAGATCTTGGGACAGAGAGAACCTTTGGGTGTCCTCATGTCACACAGTAGAGATAAGGCTCTGTTAGATCCTTGCAGCAAAACAATAACTGAAACAAATGCAAGAGTCATTTCCAACATAAATAATAGCTATGAAAAATTATACTTGCAATGATGGGTTTTCAGCATTAGTTGTCTCTGGAGTCACCTCACCACCAGAGTCAGCTTTCTGAGGTCAGCTCCTTTTTGGTCCTAATCTTACCATAAACCTTTGCTGGTTTCTGTAGCATTCAGTCCAAATCCCAGCTCTGCCATGTCCCTTCACATCTTTAGCTAAACATCGGGATGTGCAGTTCCTTACAGCCTTTGTGTAACTTTGTTCCGTTGTCTAGAATCATCTTGATCTCAACAATTCCTGCTAATTTGGATGCCACTTTCCCCAACTGCTTGCTCTTCTCTCTTGAAGAAAGACACGCATCTCCCTCTGGGGTGCTGATGCATACCTTTGGCTGTGCCTTGCCTCACTTTATTGTGTGTTTATATCTGCATTGCCAGCTTCTCCCACTAAATTCTAAATTCCTTGAGGCAGGGAGTCCATGTCACTTATTCAGTCTCCTCAAGAGTGCCTGTCACATAGCAAGTGCTAATGTATGTAGTCAAATAATACAAACCAGATCACCGAGTTTCAGTAGAAGAATGTCGTGAGGTGGGGTTTCCTTGCATTCTGCTAGGAATTACTCATTCCTTTGGGTTGCACTGCAGAAATTGCACCCACCTTCCCCAGTCTCCATTTCAATCTTTGAGCTTCTACAATGTGCCCAGCACTGGGGTGACAGTGGTGAAGAAAGAGCAACATGGCAGGTGTGGTGTCTCACACCTGTAATCCCAGCACTTTGGGAGGCTGAGGCGGGCGGATCACCTGAGGTGGGGAGTTCAAGACCAGCCTGGCCAACATGGCGAAACCCTGTCTCTACTAAAAATACAATAATTAGCCAGATGTGGTGGCATGTACCTGTAGTCCCAGCTACTTGTGAGGCTGAGGCAGGAGAATAGCTTGAACCCAGGAGGCGGAGGTTGCAGTGAACTCAGATCACGCCACTGCACTCCAGCCTGGGTGACAGGGCGAGACTCTATCTCAAAAAAAAAAAAAAGTGATGTGTCTTCTCTGTGGAGGTGATATGTGAGCTGATAGTGAAGGATGAGAGAGAATCAGCCATGAAAAAGGCTGTGGAGGAGCGGAAACTGCAAGGCTGGGGGTGTGAAAGGATGTTCCTGATCTAGAAGCAGAGCTGAGGCCAGTACGTCTCAAGAGGGTCACAGATGGTCACAGAGGGTTATGAGGGGTGGCTGCGGAGGGAGGCCAAGGCCCAACCAGGCAGGACCCTGTGGGCCGTGGCAAGGAGCATGGACCTTATTTAAGGAGTTTAGACAAGAAACTGAAAAAAATCTAAGTCTTTAGAAAGATCATTCTGAGTGATTCCGGAAGAATGGATGGAGAGAAAATGGAAGTGGGCAAACCACTTGGCAGGCTGCTGTTGTAACCGACCAAGCAAGTCACGGAGGCAGCTTGAATGAGGCTGGTGACATAGAGATGGAGGGAGGTGAGTGGATACGAAGGAGACCCTGATAGGACTGGCAGGGGGCCCGAGGTGATGGTGAGAGAGGACAACATAAAGGATGGCACTAGGGTGGGACCAGGGCTGTCTGACATGACAGAGCCTATGAGGGCTGGTTTCCAACTTCCAAATCCTAGGACAAAGTCAGTCTCCGTATAGATTTACTGAGAACCGCCAAGATTCCTGTAGGCCACCCGCAGGAAGGCAGAGTGCGTTTCATTTTTGTGGTCGGGTTCTCCGAAGGAATTAAAAATTTTCTTATTCTTTTGTAGTCTCCATAGCCCCTTTATTTTGTTGTGTGATCCTTTCCTAAGGTTTTCCTATTCAACATTTATCTTCATTGCTTTGCTGAAAACACACACCAATAATTTCATCTGTAATATTATAAATGACCTCTGTGTCTATTTTGCCATTAATCTCCCTGCAAAGGGGTTGCATGTAACCATTCTGCACCATACCTCCCCGTAAAATATGTCATTTTCTCCTCTTGTTTGTTCAGTAAACAATGCAATTTCAACTGTACCTTGGAGAACTAGTACTAATCATAAACAAATTATAGCTACTACTGAGACTACTGCAGGGACCAGGCTTTAGATTCTGCAGCAGAGAAAGCTGCTTGGAATGAGAGCAAAGGGAAGGAGGGCTCATTCAGGCTGGAGGAATAAAGACAGGAGCACCTGATCATGGGTAGTGGCCCCTTGAGACACCTCCAATGAAGGGAGCCGGGTGGATTCAGCCCTCTTAAAGCTACGCAGGAGGTCATCCTGCCCCCATGACATCCACGGTAGCCACAGTAGAAGGGCTGGCTACTTTCTAAAGAGACAAGATAGCCACCGGGTGCTGATGCCACTGTCAATCATCATAGCAATAGCTTCCACCCTCACCACTGATTGAGTGCTTACAATGTTCTAGGTCCTGTACTCAAGGCTTTATGAGCGTTATTTTATTTGGAAAGTACTTTGTAAACCACCTAGTGCTAGAAAATGATTAAGATTTCATTTTTAATATTAACCATCTGACATTTACACATGATAAACCCATAAGAGGCTTCCACACCTCCATCTTTACTGAAACGTTACCTTCTCAGCAAGGCCTTCCCTGGTGGCTTTATCTAAAATCTCTGCCTTGGCCTCTAATCCAAATCACAGATACATCGTCTCTCCTTTCCTTGCTACCTGTATAACTGAGCAATATACACCTTTCTTATTAGTGTTGTTGGTAGTCTGTCTGCCTGACTAGCACTCAGGGGATGGAGAACTTAGCGTGTGTTTCACTGCTGAATCCCCAGTGCCTAGAACAACACCTAGCACCTGGGAATCACAATAAAAGTTTCTTGAAAGAATAAGTGAATAATGCTTTTTAATAAATAATTTTGGGTAATGGATTCAGAAGCAGGGTTTATGCTTTGTTCATAATATAAAATTAGTATTTCAGAGGACTTCCACATAGCCCCAACTCCTGTGGCTATGTGTGTACAAAGCTGGCATTTGTTCACATAAAAAGCAAATCATGTAGAAGGCTCCTTGTAGTGATCATGTCCTTCTCTGTGTCTAAAGAACTTGCTCAGTGCTGCCAACTCCATTCAGGATGATGGCTGCCCACTCATACCTGCAATGGGTCATGGACTGGGAAGCTGATGAAACTGCAACTGGCATGGGCTGCTGGGAGCCACCATACATGGAGGAGAGTGATGGCTGATTCACAGTGAGTAGCGAGAGGCTGGGAGACAGTCAGCAAGGGCTTCCCAGCTGGGCCCAGTGGCATGTGCCTGTAGTATTAGCTACTTGGAAGGCTAAGGAGGGAGGATCGCTTTAGCCTTCACTGCAGGAGGTTGAGTCTGCAGTGAGCTATGATTGTGCTTTTGCATTCCAGCCTGGACAACAGAGCAAGACTCCATCTCTCAAAAAAAAAGTGCTTCCCATTCTAGGCACAAAGCCAAGTGCAAAACAGACTCCAACCTAGCAGTGTGCAGTGGATGGGCCATTCTTCCAGCTAGGGGGGAGAGGAAGCAGGGTGTCCTTGGAGGAAATGTAAGAAGGTTTGGTGTTATCAAATTTGATAGGTACAGTTCAGGCAAAGAAACCTGGAAACGGGTAGAGTCCCCTATGAAAAGATGAAGATCACTTGCTATGGCTAGGAGTCAAGAACCTCTTTGTATTTTTTAGTTTTTAGTTCTTTTCTAAGCCTCTCATGTGAGGGTCTGAACTTCTCAGAACCACAAGATTGGGAGAAACCTAATGAAGAAGGAAAACTGGATGATAGGCAGGCAGGAAGGATAAATAACAACAACGAAAATAATATTCAGCCTACTATGTATTGGGCATTTTTTGAATGTGTTATCTTTCACTTGATTCCTTCAATGAATATGACCGAAATATACAAGAAGATGACTGATTTGGTATGGTTACTATAAAAAAATAGAAATAGAAAATAATGAGTGTTGGCAAAGATATAGAGAAATTTGAACCCTTGTGTGTTGTTGGTGGGAATGTAAAATGGTGTGGCTGATATGGAAAACAATATAGTTGTTCCTCAATTCAGCTTTGAAAAGGAAATAAATTCTAACACATGCTTCCATATGGATGAACCTTGAAGACACTATGCTAAGTGAAATAAGCCAGTTTCAAAAAGACAAATGTGCCATTTCACTTACATGAGATACCTTGTGTAGTGAAATCCATACAGACAGCAGGTAGAATGGTGGTTACAGGGTCTGGGGAGAGGGAGGAATAGGGAGCTGTTTAATGGGTATGAAATTTCAGTTTGGGAAGTTAAAAAAGTTCTGAAAATTGGTTGCACAGTAATGTTGAATATACTTAAACATTACTGAACTGCACACATAGATATGGTTAAGATGGTAAATTTTATGTTATATTTTAGAGCAATTTGAAAGATGACTGATTATCCTGGCCTTGAAAATAAGCCCTAATGAAGACTGTAGGACAGGGGGAAGTCAGTGTGGCCTACTGAGAAAAGCCTGTGGCTGAGGCCCCATGCAGAGTTCAGGCTCTTCTCTTTCTTCTTTTAAATCCCCTTTCTGTTTGGTTTCCAGTGGAATCTACCGGTGTGTGAGGCACTGGATATAGCTGGAACTACAGTGCCCTGGCAGTGACGAAGCCTCTGAGCTAACCCGACACGGCTGTGTGCTCAGTGATCTTTTTTTTTTTTTTTTTTTTTTTGATATGGAGTCTCGCTCTGTTGCCCAGGCTGGAGTGCAGTGGCGCGATCTCTGCCCGCTGCAAGCTCTGCCTCCTGGGTTCGTGCCATTCTCCTGCCTCAGCCTCCCGAGTAGCTGGAACTACAGGCTCCTGCCACCATGCCCAGCTAATTTTTCTTATTTTTTTTTAGTAGAGATGGGGTTTCACCATGTTAGCCAGGATGGTCTCGATCTCCTGACCTCGTGATCCACCCACCTTGGCCTCCCTAAGGGCTGAGATTACAGGCATGAGCCACCGTGCCTGGCCGATCTTTTTTTTAAAATTTAAAAATTTTTTTTTTTTTTTTTGAGACAGGGTCTCATTCTGTCATCCAGGCTGGAGTGCAGTGGCACGATCATGGCTCACAGCAGCTTCAGCCTCCTGGGCTCAAGTGATCCTCCCATCTCAGTCTCCCAAGTAGCCTGGATCACAGGTGTGTGTCACTGCATCTGGCTAAGTAAAAAAAAAAAAAAAAATTTAGAGATGGGGTCTCCCTATTTTGCCCAGTCTGATCTTGAACTCCTGGGCTCAAGCAATCCTCCTGCTTTAGCCTCCCAAAGTGTTGAGATGATAGGCATGAGCCACCGCACCAGGCCACCTGAGTGATCTTAAACCTGGCATTAGCCTCTCAGCCTCAGTCCGCTTATTTATGAAATGATGGGGTTGGACCAGGTGAGCTCTGAGGGATGTTTCTCCCTGCGCTGTGGTTCAAGGTCTCAGCCAGCAGCAGGGAACAATGGAGATGAGTTTCCATGTGCAGGAAGAAAGTGTTAGGGGAGGGTCTGGTAATGGTGATACATGTGGATGACAATTTGGAAAGCATATGGGGAGACTCTCAGCTCAGCTAGAATCCTCTCAGCCCTCAATCTTGCTACGAAGTACAGGCAGATGGCACAAAGGGCTGCTTCAGACTGGCAGGTCCCCAGGTACACAGGACTCCATTTCCACTTTTACAAGTCTTTCTCAAACACCAGGGGGATTCTGCCAGGTACTATATTCTCTAGAGTGAAGAGCTACTAAGCAGAGTCTACAATTTCATTTAGGGAAAAAAGGTGAGAAAACAGACAAGACTTGATGGGAAAAATCTCTGAGGACACCTAGAGGAAACATTCATGCCCACAGGTCTTGGACTGACTGGCCAAGTGACAGGGGCACAAGTGTCTCCTACATAGTAGGTATTCAATAAATAGTAGACAATGAGGAAAATGTGGATGACAATCTTCAGGCCATCCTGTATACTAGGACAGATATTTTGGCAATTAATAATAAAAATACAATAAGTGCTAAAATAGGTGTGTGTTTTGGCTGTTTCAAAACTTAACTGCAAATTCTTTAAAAATCCTCTCGAGAGGACTATGGAGAGATGGAGACTTTGGTATTCTTCTCATGAGTCGGGCAGGCTCATGACTGCTTGGACTAACAGCATATGATGGAAGCCACCACATAACTTTTGAGGCTAGATCATAAAGACTGTGCAGCGTCCTCCTTGGTCATGGATACATCTGGCCTTGGAGCCTGGGGCATGCATGTAAGAAGTTTGACTCCCTCAAGGCTACCATGCTAGAGAGGTCAGGTGTAGGCACTCTGGCGATAGTCCCAGTTGAGCTCAGCCCTCCTGCCATCATTTTCAAGGCAGCAGACATGCAAGCAAAGCCATCCTGGAGCCCACACACCTCTTGATCTGCCAGCTGAATCCAATGCATGACCTGTCAATGCCATGTGGCATGAAAAAGTTACCTGCCCAAATTCTTGTCCCACACAATTGTGAAAAATGATAAAATGGTTGTTGTTTTTGCTACTATGCTCTGGAGTATTTGTTGCTCAGAAATAGATAACTGGGATGTCTGAATGATAGGCACACAGAGAAGGAGTGTCCAGCCAGGGGGCAAAAGAAGGCTCTAGGAAAGAGATAACACTTGAGTTATCCTCAAAGAGTGGGTAAGAATTCTAAACAAAAGAGAAAAGATAAGGGAACTCCAGGAACAGATGATGCCATGCTCAGGGAATAGTGACTTGTCTGTGTGACTTTAGTATGAGCTGTGTGAAGTGATGGTCAGATTCAAACATTTTATTAGGTTGGTGCAAAAGCTATTTTGGTTTTTGCCATTATTTTTACTTTTAATGGCAGAAACTGAAATAGCTTTTGCACAAAATAGCTTCATCAAATTAGCAAAGACTTGAAAATAATACCCAGGCCGGGCGCAGTGGCTCACATCTGTAATCCCAGCACTTTGGAAGTCCTAGGCAGGCAGATGTCTTGTGCCTAGGAGTTTGAGACCAGCCTGGGCAACATAGTAAAACCTTGTCTCTACTAAAAATACAAAAAAATTAGCTGGGCATGGTGGCACACGTCTGTAGTCCTAGCTACCTGGGAGGCTGAGGTGGGAGGATCACCTGAGCCTGGGAGTTCTCCTCAGAAGGTCGAGCCTGTAGTGAGTTGTGATCTCAGCACTGCAATCCAGCCTGGGTGACTGAGTGTGAGACCCTGTCTTAATTTAAATAAATAAATAAATAAATAAATAAATAAATAAATAAATAAAAATAATACTCAGTCCTAGCAAGGATGTAGTGAGTTAGGGACTCTTACATACTGCTGGTGAGAAGGTGAACTGGGAGAACTTTTCTAGAAAAGTTTGGCAGTATGTTTTAAGAACCTTAAAAACTTTGTATTTAAGACCTTTGAACCCCAAGGTTCCACTTTTAGGAAACTTCCTTGAGGAAATAGAGTTATCAGACGCTTAGATCTAAAAAAACTCATAGCAGATTATAATACCATGAAAGCAAAAACAAAGAAACAACATCCCCACAGACAGGGAAACAGTAATAAAAGCTCGTACCCCTGTGTCACACAAGGGTGTTTTTGAAGAACCCTTATTAACATGAGAAAATTTTCATAATAAATTAACTAAAAAGAAAACCAACCAGCCAACCAAACAAGCCCAATGCACCTGTATCTAAGACTGTTGGAACAGCATAGCAAAATCCATTTATATACACAGAAAGGAAAACTAGAAGGAATGTATGTCAAATTGTTAACCATAGTTATCTCTAAGGGAGAGGATTATGAATGCTTTGAGCTCTCTTTTCTAAACCTTTCTGAATTTCTGTGTCCTATAATGGACATATATAACTTTTACAATCAAAAAAAGGAAGTAAATTTCTCTAAAAGAAGCATGAGTGAGTCAGTCCTTCTTTTTCCTTCCTAGGCTGATGCTTACATTCTGACGACCCCAATTCACCCTGTTTCTATTCCAATACATGACCTGTATTTCTATTCACAAAACTCTTCCAAGCCCTTTCATGTCCACTATCTCATTAGTTTCTCTCAATCAATCCAGGAAGCAGGCAGGGTGAGGATTGCGTCTATTTTCAGAGGGGAAAAAAAGATCCACAGGAAGGTACCAATTGAATGCAGTCTGCTTTATTTTCAGAGATCCACAGCTCATTCACACCCCTGACCCACTCCCTACAGCATCCTGCAGAATCAGGGCTGGTCCAAGTGTGGACAGCCATGGGGATGGGGAGACAGACCTTACCCAGGCCTGGGCCACCAAGCTGTTGGCATCTCTCAGGGCCACCAGCATCCCCGAAATGCCCACCAGGCTGGGGCGAGGTTTCTGAATCACACTGTAGACCCATATTTCTGACAGAGGCACAAATTGCTACTTCGTTTCACAGTGAATCTCAACATCTGATTTCCATTGACAGTTAAATTAACAAATCAACTAAATACCGATATGTTTTATGTCCCGTCTTATGCCAGATTTATTGTGATCCCGGCATGACACAATGCAGAAGAGTTTGGATTTACTGGCTCAGGGGTAAACTGTAGATTATTCACTGCGTCCATTTCACTGGCTGAACCAGGAAGCAATTCCTGGGTCCATCTGTCAGAATCTCTGAACTGGGAGGAGGAGAAGAATGAAGCACGGACAGCTGACCAGCCAGGCAGTCCCCAGAGCTGCCATGCACTCTGCAGCACGCTTCCTGGGTCTTCATTCCAATCAGTGGGACAGTTTCACGCATAAATCCTTACCCGATGGTCAGATGTGGTCTCCATCTGCTTTCCTGACCTCACTTGTCTTCTTTAAAGAGCAGCGACTCAGAATAATAAAGATCTTTATTTGCATAGCACTCTCCGTTTTTTGTAGTTCAAGGTACATGATTTCAGTTAATACTGAAAACAACTCTATGACATGGAACTGTCACCCCCATTTATAGATGAGAAAACTGGCTCAAGGTCACATGGGTGGTAAGAGGTAGAGAGGAACTAGAACCGTGGTCTCCTGGCTGCCAGTTCAGGGCTTCTCCTAGAACATTCTAAGAGTGGGGTCTCTGGCCCTGCCTGAGGAGAGAGATCCTGGCCATTCCTCTGAAACTCTGACACCCTCTTTCTGCCTAGAATCTGGTTTTCCAGGTGGGCTACTGGGCTGATGGAGGAGGTGAACCAACTCATTTCCATGAGCACTTGGAGGAACACTGCACAGGACCACTAAATGCCGTCCTTTGGTTTGGATGGGGTGGGGTGTGAATGGTCAGGAAGTGGCAGGGCTCATACTCTGAGCTGCTGGGAGCAGTCTGCCGTTGAGACCTTGGTCTCTTTCATAGAGGACATAGGGGAGATTTAGCTCCAACTTTGTGTCATCAAGCAAAGAATTTGGGAAGTCTGTGTCCTTTCACTTCTTTTTAATTATAAAATAACTGGCTGTATGGTCCCATCCACTCCTAAGATGCAGGGAATACTTGGGCAGTAAAATGAAATGATAGAGATGTATTAGGTGGGGACTCTCCAGCCTGGGAATATTGACTGCTCAGTAAATAAGCAGCTGCCGATCTAGCTCTTTCCATCTGAAGAAAGTGCCTTTCAGGAGGCACAGATAACCTTTGCAACTATAACTGGGATTTACTCTAAGAAAGTAGTTCTCAAACTTTAGCATGCATCAAAGTCATGCTTCTTAACACCCCCGGAGTTTCCGATTCAGTAGATCTAGGATAGAGCTTGATAATTTGCATTTTTAATTATGCAAATTACATTGGTGCTGGTTCTGGGACTACACCTTAAGAACCTCTGCCATGAGGGTTTTGCTGCAAGGGACAGCTGTAGGGGTTTGCTGTGTCTTATTAAAACCTTTCCCATCAACTTGATACAGGCTGAGAACTGGTCTTCAAGGACAACAGGGCTGAAGGAGTTGCTTCTTCTCAGAGACAACATGATCTGTGTCAGGCTGGGCAGGGGTGGAATGCATGAGTTGTAGGATTCTGCCCCTACCCTAGTGAGCCCAAGTTGCTCCATCTCTCCTAGGCTGACTTGGCATACTCGACCCAGCCAGATTGTCCCCCAGGGTGGTCCATCTGGGTCTGCTTATGAGAATGAATGAACTGTGTCTGTAAAGTGCTCACAGCTCTCTGGAGAGGGTATCTTAGCACAATTACCATAATAATAAATGCTTTCTGTTCATTTGGTATTTGTGCATCCTCGGGGCACCCAGGGGCTCAGCTCATTAAGGCTCTACAACTTGGACAAACAGGTTGGTAGGAAGCGAGGTGAGAAGCTGGCCTTGTATCAATAGTGTCATTCCATGTTTAAAAAGCCAAAGCTTAGAAATACCAATTCACAAGGTCAGTTGGGCCATTTCAGTTAGCTAGTGAGTAGCAGGACGAGGGCAGGACACTGATTGTTTATAGGAAAGCAACAAATGCTCACAGCTCGTATGGTAAGCATCATAGTTTAAGAAACACTTTGACACATGTTATGAAATTCAATCTTTATAATAGTCCTGTGAGGTAGAGATGAAGTCAGTTTGGTTCTTGTGCAGATCACATAGAAGGAATGAGGCAGAACTGAAGGCAGCTCACATTCTGCTATTTACAGCTCCCATCGTAAGGACGGACTCCTAATTCAATGCTCTATTATGTTATCAGTGTTCACTGAGTACTCTCCATTAAAGGGACCCAGATTCAATCAGGACCTTTCAGTGGCTCTGACGACACGCTGTCTGAGTTTAACTGTTGGCTCCATCACCTACTTGCTCCGTAAGATTGGGAAGTGGTTTATCCTAAGACTCAGTTTCTCGAATGTACAACGGGGATAATAAGAGTACCTTCTTCATGTGGCCTTTGTGAAGAGCAAATGAATTACTGTCCATCAAGTTCTTAGTGGTGCCTAACACAGAGTAAGTCTTGATGAATGTTGGCTGCATTACTAGCTCAGTCCCCACTCCAGCTGAAAGGGGTTGCAGGGTCGCCCTCTCCATCGGCTCAGGGAAGACAGTAGAGTCTGCCTTATTCTATGGGCTCACTGGGTCCTAATTACTGGGAAGCAGTGGTTTCCCTGGCCTGTGTTGCAGCCTGCCACTTTGTTCTTGACCCTGCTCTGACTGGTGTTCTTGACAATAGGCCACAGGCTGGGTTTTGGCCTCTGTTTGTTTGTAGCCTCATCAGGGGAAAGTCATTTCAAACTGCTTGTTTGTGATTGCTGCCTCATAGGCTGAGATTCGTGGGGCAACACTGGCTTAATAGTCCATTGCTAGTCACAGTGGGGAAATCAGAGTGCATTATGCTAAGGCAGTTGGCATGGCGGTAGGGGGCAATGGCTGAAGAGAGACGCTCATCTAGACACAAAACAACTCCGCTTCCAGGAAGCAGGGATCCTCTGTACCTGGGCTGTTTTAAATACTCTAGTGCAAAAATCAGGGCAGCTTGCTCTGGCCAAAGGCCTCCCCTTTCATTATTTCCAGCTCTGGAGGAGCACCCTGCAGGTGGTATGAAGGATGTGCAGAGTGGACAGGTGACAGCTCATAGGCAGGAGCTATGTCTGTCAGCTGGAAGAAGGATGGAGATGTGGTTTACACACCAAACCTAGGATGTGCCCTGCTCAGGGAAGAGCAGCCTGCAATGTACAGTGCGACTGTGGGGAAGACTCCAAACTGGATGAGTAGAACCAGGACCTGCTGGGTCCTGTCACCATGGCTACAGTGAGGGCTGGTCAGGAGACACCTGGCTGGGAAGTTCAGCCTGCACAAGGCAGGAATCACTGAAACAGGAATGTTACCCACTCAAGGTAGAGGGAGGCAGCTCAGAGCCTGGAGAGCAATGGATAATCAGCAAGAACCATCTCTAGCAAGCAGGGCTGATAAACTGCTGCTCTCAGGGTGAAGGTTTGGGCAACTGGCTTAGTCTTTCCAAGTCTTACTTTATGTATGTGTAAAATGGGCATAAATAATCCCGGTCCTGTCTATCCTACAGGGTTTCTGGGATTAGAACTATCCTGATACATAACTCCAGAGCATTCTATGTGAGGTCTATCGGGACTGGTTGAAGGGATAAGATGGAAGCCACAAAGAAAATCTTGTGAATGTGAAGGAATTGGGCCATTGTAAGTGACTGTATTATTTTATTCTGCATGCTGCATGAGAATAGCCTTGGGCCACCAGACATTTGTTGTGGCCAGTGAAAGGCTAGTGGCCCCTTGGTGATCCCTATGGCCATTGGATCTGGAGAGGGGACTGGCAGATGTGGAGATCCTGGGAAGATCCTTCCATTGACCTGAGCACCTGAGTCAGCCTGCCCCACCTCTGTGGGACAGAGACAGCTGCCACTGGCTCTGGTCTTGCTCAGTTTCTGTTGGCTCTCAGGGGCCTTCTAGGCTTCTCAGTGGTGCTGTGCTTCTGAACCAGAACCTCCTGAGTACCTGCTGTAGAGTAAACTCAGTAATGACAGAGTCCCAAGAAACCAGCAGCGACCATTTACGGAGCACCTGCTCACAGGCAGTCACTGAGCAAGTCCCACTGGACCCACTGTTTGTCATTTTATCCTCCTACCAACCCTGTGAGTAGGTATTATCATCTTTGTTTAACAGATAAAGACACTCAGGCCCAGAGAGGTTAAGCAACTTGTCCAAGGTTGCAGAGCCAAATTTGAACTATAGCTTGCCTGCACCTGAGTCTAAGGAATTTCTGCTACATGTGTATCTCCCAAACTGTTTTCTGCAAAAACACTGGTTCTGGGAACTGTTTTTGGTGCTTCATGAAAAGATTATTTTGTGGGAATAAGTTTGGGAAGGCTGCATATTCTATTTTACTCTTGGAGATTCATATTGTACATTAGCAAATTAAAGGCTCTGAGAAACCCTGGACTGGAGAAATTTGGGCAACATTTAAAAACCCAACATTCATTGCTCCTATTTGAACATGGGACACGTTTTCACCACAACAGTGTTGGGAAACACTGAGTTATATTGTGGCTTCTATTTTGAATTAACATATAGAGTTATTAAAGATAGATGAAAAATACTTCTGTTCTTTTGGGATCTTATATTTTTGTGGGGGTGAAGACATATCTGAAACTGAGGAGAGATGTATGGAAGCTTAGAGAGAGGACTGGCTCATTCTCCCTGAAGGCTTCACAAAGCAGTGAAGCCTTTGTGCTTCACTTGGGCTGGGCCATGACAGGTCAGCAGGGATCACCCGATAATGACACAGGGGAGGCATCCCAGACAAAAGCGTTAACTGCATGCTCACTCCTCCTCCCTTCATTGTCCAGGGACCAGTCCTCTGCTCAGAGTTCCTGCATCCTGGGGGCCACTTCTGAACCAGACCATGCCCACTCCAGCCACCACAGATCGAGCCACGGGCAACCAATTACTAGACTGGCCACACCTGTGACTTGTGTGGTTCCGCCTTAAGAGATAGACTGGAGCAATCAGATTCTCAGTTTGAGAAATCTGATCAAACACATGGAAAGACTTGCTGATTTATGGTGATGATTGCAGCTGCAAAGTCTTGAGGTAAGGCTGGAGAGGCTAATGTGGGCCAGGTATAATTCAGTTAACTCCATGGGAGGCTGGTGGTAGGGTGGGAGAGGCAGACCCAGACTCCTAAGCAGAGTACCCTAGTTGGAAGAAGAAGCACCAGAGAGAGAAGTGGCACTTAACTGGGGCTGAGACAGGTGAAGAGCAGAATGCTGGCTTTAAGATCCCAGGACTCTCCTGTTTGGGGGTCCCTGCAGCTCTAGGTATGCAGAACCTTCTCAGCTCTGGCCACAGTGAAACCAATCCTATCATCAGCCCTAGCCCTGGCAGCCACTCTCTCTTCTTCCAGCTGCCCCGTCATAAGGAGTAGGAGATGATGACCATCTTGGAGGAGGGAGATGCTGTATCCTGGAGAGGCCACTGGGGTAGGAATCGGCCATCTGTGCTCCGCTTCAAGTTGTGCTACCGATTAGTCACATCACTTCACATCTGTGCTGCACCCTCACCCTCACTGCTAAACTGGTGACAATAAAGATTGTGGGGAAGAGCACATGAGATGTATATGTGAAAGCCCTTTGTAAACTGTCAGGAGTGGCATAGATTTATTACTGTTACTGGTTGTGGAAATGTATGTAGAGAGGACAGGCAGAAATGCCTTTAAAATCTGTGTGGGGCCTGTAATACTTGCCGGAGCCAAGCAGGCTGGTCTCCAGCTGCTAGGGCCACGTGGTCACGAAAGAAGTGCCCTGTGTAGGCCACGGCTTGAGGCCCTCCCCAACCTTGCTCTCCTACATCACGCCCAGAATGTTCCATGCCTGCCTTGTGGCTGTGGTGAGTATGCTAAAGCAAAGATACAGAGGACAGAATCTCAGGCTCAGAGGTCTTTTAGACAGGCAACATCCAATTATCTGGGAAAAGAGAGGTCCAGAGAGGGTTATGTGATATTGTGACGTTGACCGATCAATCAGTGGTCAGTGAGCAGGCACTTCCAGATCCATCTGCAGAGGAATTGTCCCAAGACACCTAGGCTGTAGTGGTAGAGAGGCAGGAGAGGCCACAAGATAGAGGCTGTGGGGTAGTGAGGAATAAGAGGGTTTGTGGGAAGTGGGCAGAGTCCAGAAAGGGTTGAGGGATGGGAGTGAAACTGCCTTTGCAAAAATCATAACTGATAAAATTATGACAGTGAAAGAGATCTGACCTGATTCCATTTTGCTTCTAACCTACAAGCTGTCATTGTTCATTCCTGGGTGCAGGAGAAACTAACTTCGGGAAGAACTCAGTTTGTAGTTTAACTTTGAAACAAAGACAGTAACAGCCCTTTCCCAAAACAAACCTCCTTCTTGCCTGGGGACCAGACTGCCTTTGTAGGACTAACAGACTAGCTACAAGATTAGAAATTATTGTTTAGGAGTCATGCAGCTGGAGGCTGCAAGATTCTGAACCTCCTCAAATTGCTCCTGGGGACAACATCACTATTGTAAAACCTAAAATCAATGCTTGAGATATTTGCAGACCCTCTACTCAATGGATCATCTGGCACCACCCAGATCAGTAAACTGGCCCATCTGTTCTTGTGGCCCCATGTCCTCCATCAGGCCCTGCCTGTGCTTAGAAGAGCTTCAGGTCTGGCTGTGTGCTACTCCAGGGGAAGATAATGAGCTTGATGCATTATTCCTTCCTATCAATCAATCACCAATTTTTTTCACTTTTTGTGTATTTACATTTTGCAATTACTCCAATTTTCAGGGAAGAGAGCAAAAAAATGACATGATTAAACAGAAGACTCATCTCTGGAATTTTCCAACCTGAGAACACAGAGCTTTTATTGCTTTGCCGAGTCTGGGTCTGGCTCCATGCACAGCAAACCTCCATCTCTAGAGAGCAGAGGGCAGGGAATTTACAAGGTGGTGTTGGAGCTAAAGCCTGCTCCTGTCTGTACACCAGGGAGAGGTGTTTTGTTCATTACACACTTGTGTTGAACTGTAAATGACCCAAAGGCAGTGTGTTGAGGTTTCAATATTTTCTAGTGGAGAAGGTCATGATGAAGTGAGGATCTAAAAAAAAAAAAAGCATTTATTGAAGGCTTCCTATTAGGTTGAACCAGATGAAACTGGTGACATTGTACTGTTCTGGGCACATAAAAGTGGCAGTTTCACATGATTCAACCTAATGCATTCAGACTCTGCTGAATTCTTCATGGACATCCC